>NW_017363819.1:0-276292 GCF_000001405.40 Homo sapiens
CTGAGTGTCATCTGCTTGGTCTACGAGCTCAGCTTTCTGATGCCATTTATTTGTCGAGGGTCTTTGTGCAGTGGATTTTCTCACTGTCTGGATGTGGCGGGTGCAGCTGGGGGTGGGGGGTTCTTTGACTTTTTGTTTTTTTTGACTACAAAGACCTAGAAGAGGAGAGCCTGGGGTTTTTAACTTGTTCCACTGGCCCGAGAAGGCCGATGGGTTCATGTTCATGGCCGGCTGGGGTTCCTGTTGGGCATGTTTTGAGTTGTGCAGACACTTAATGCCTCAGGATCCATCGGGTCATCAGGGAGCAGGTGCCGAGTCTGCTCTTGCTTCTGCTGGGCTGGGCTCTGATTCTCCACTAAAGCTTGTCACCCAGAGGTTCAGTTCACACAGGCAGAGCAGGGTCGATGGATGGTCGTCCTAGGTGTCCCCAGGCTTGGCGGCTTCCTCTGGCTGCCACGTAGGGAGCACACTGAAGACAGTGGGGGTGAAGCAGGGCTAAGACAAGGCACACCTGTCGACAGGACTAGCAAGGGGACGCAGGGGTGGAGAGAGGAGTCGGGGTCTTGTGGGGCTTGGGGCCTGAGTGATGCTAGGATGGAGCTGCGTTTACTGAGATGGGGGCTGAGGGTGCAGTGGGATGGGGCTGGAGGTCTGGTTTGGGTGCCCATCAGCATTCTGTGCAGATGCGCTACAGCTGTTCGGGCCTCTGCAGGAGGGCTGCATCCTGGGCTCCGACTGCAGTCAGCAGCATAGAGCTGGGGTCTCAGGCCTCGAGGCTGGAGGTCACCAGGGAGGCATGGGGCAGGAGGGAATCAGCCCTGAGTCCCAGGGTGTCATAGTTAGGAAGCAGGGCTACAAGAGAGGCAGGGAGGGACCTGCAGTCTGTGGGAAGACCCCAGGGGAGATGCCTGGCCCACAGGGAGCACCCTCCTACGCGCTTGTTTTCTGCAGGGGCCCACCACGGGCCCACCATGTGGGCTGGCACCAACTCAGGCTCTGTGTTCGCCTATGCACTGGAGGTGCCGGCAGCAGCAGTGGGTGGTGAGAAGCGGCCTGAGCAAGCGGTGGAGGCCGTGCTGGGCAAGGAGGTGCAGCTGATGCACCGGGCGCCTGTGGTGGCCATTGCCGTGTTGGACGGGCGTGGCCGCCCACTGCCCGAGCCCTACGAGGCCTCACGGGACCTGGCGCAGGCACCTGACATGCAGGGTGGTCACGCTGTGCTCATCGCATCTGAGGAGCAGTTCAAGGTGAGCCACTGTGGGCTGTGGGGGACTCTGGGGGACTCCCCTCCAGGCCCCAACCTCATGGACACCATTGGACCCTCAAGAAACCCTTCCTGCCTGTATCCCCCACTGTTGGGACCCTAATTCCCTTGCACCCCAGAAAACACTCCCAGCCAGCAGAGAACTCCTACCCAAGAACCCTGATGCCCCCTCAGCCTGCTGAGTTCCCCTGGGAGGGCAGGAATCTAGTCCTATCTCACTGTGCCACACAAGGCTCCTGTACTGGGCCCAGACCCCTGAGCCCAGTCCCCAGGGGCTCTGCCTCGAAAGAACTCGAGGTTTGATGGGGATACCAGCTGCATAACCTTGGCATAACTCTGTGATTGATTTTGTCACAGATCGAGAGAGGGCCTGGGAGGTTTCTGGAGTACAGTGTGAAGTCTGGAGTTTAGTGGGGCAGCCAGGTGTACAGGCACGGGAGGCCACGTAGCATGCAGCTGGGCTTTGTGGTGGGGGCTGTTGGGTCAGCAGCCACGAGGGTGAGGGGCCCTGGGGACGAGGACAGGGCCAGGCTTTGTGCTCACCAGCCACCTGCTGTCAGGTGTTCACACTGCCCAAGGTGAGCGCGAAGACCAAGTTCAAGCTGACGGCCCATGAGGGCTGTCGTGTGCGCAAGGTGGCACTGGCCACGTTTGCCAGTGTGGCCTGCGAGGACTATGCTGAGACCTGCCTGGCCTGCCTCACCAACCTGGGTGACGTCCACGTCTTCTCGGTGCCTGGCCTGCGGCCCCAGGTGCACTATTCCTGCATCCGGAAGGAGGACATCAGCGGCATCGCTTCGTGCGTCTTTACGCGCCATGGCCAGGGTGAGGCGGGGCAGAGGCCGAGGAGGCCTTCCTCAGGCGAGCGAACTGAGTGGGACCAGTACTGCTTGGGAGCAGGAAGGGCACTCCAGGTGGGCACAGGCCCAGGCCACGGAGGAGCTGTGGTTGGTGGTATCTTCTAACTGCACTCCTCATTCTTCTGCCCACCCAGGCTTTTACCTGATATCCCCATCAGAATTTGAACGCTTCTCCCTAAGTGCCCGGAACATCACAGAGCCGCTCTGCTCTCTGGACATTAACTGGCCCCGCGATGCCACCCAGGCCAGGTGTGTGGAGGGGCAGCTCCTAGCCTGGGGGACCTGTGCCCAGGGCCAGGTCTCATCCCACCCCCGAGATCTGCCTTCCCTGGGCTCAGGAGTGGGAGGGCAAGGATCTAGCGTGCCAGCCTCAAGTCATCCACCTATGGTCCCCATCATGGCCCCATCTCTGCAGTTACAGGATCCGAGAGTCACCCAAGCTGAGCCAGGCTAACGGGACCCCAAGCATCCTGCTGGCCCCACAGAGCCTTGATGGAAGCCCTGATCCAGCCCACAGCATGGGACCTGGTGAGGGGGGCATGAAAGGGGTCCAGACCCTGGCCCCACGGTGCCCTGGGGGAGGGAGTCGGGACTCACATAGCTCAGGGATCGGGCAGGCTTCTGTAGGAGATGGGTGGTTGTGTGCTCACTGGTGCCACCCCTCACCATGGGCTGCCTTATGGGTCTGTGTCCCTAGGCCCCCAGGTGCAGAGGGTGCTAAGGGTCCTGGTAGGGGCTGATGACTTGCTCCCTGTAGACACCCCGGAGCCACCCGAGGCTGCACTCTCACCCATGTCCATCGACTCAGCCACCAGTGCTGACACCACGCTGGACACGACAGGGGACGTCACAGTGGAAGATGTGAAGGATTTCCTGGGGTGAGGCTGGTGGGCAGGTCCACAGGGGGGGCTGCCCTGTCCCCTAGGCCTCCGTCCCCAGGGCTGCCAGGGGCTCCCCCGCCCCCACCCCTGAGCACCATCCCCATCTCGCAGCTCCTCTGAGGAGTCAGAGAAGAACCTGAGGAACCTGGCAGAAGACGAGGCCCACGCCTGTGCCATCCTGATCAAATGAGGTGCTGCAGGGGTGGGGCCCTGGTCCTCACCACTGGTGACGTCCACCCCCTTCAGCCCGTCTGGGTACCATTTGGCCCTGGTCTTCTACCTGAGACCCTGGCAGGCCCATGTGATGGCACTCTCTGAAACCTGGCTGCCTTCCATGGAGTGCCTCAATTGGGGACTTCTGGTGCTCACACAGACACCAGTGTCATGGTTGGGTATTAGAAAAGCAGGGCCAGCCCCTCAGCCCTTGCATGTGACAGGTGGTGGTTAGGACAAGACCAGATTTGTTTTGTTTTGTTTTGTTTTGTTTTGTTTTTGAGACGGAGTCTTGCTCTGTCGCCCAGGCTGGAGTGCAGTGGCGTGATCTTGGCTCACTGCAACCTCTGCCTCCTGGGTTCATGCCATTCTCCTGCCTCAGCCTCCTGAGCAGCTGGGACTACAGGCGCCCGCCACCACACCCAGCTAATTTTTTGTGTTTTTAGTAGAGACGGGGTTTCACTGTGTTAGCCAGGATGGTCTCGATCTCCTGACCTCATGATCCACCCGCCTCGGCCTCCCTAAGTCCTGGGATTACAGGCGTGAGCCACCGCACCCGGCCAACAAGACCAGATTAAACCACTTAGAGGTGGCAGTAGTTTGGGGCTTGGGAGCTGGTTTGGCCAGCCTGTTTCATAGATGAGATCACTGAGGTGCACGAGGTCAGGTCTCATCGGTTGGGCCCAGCAAGTGGCTGACTTACCCCTGCCTGAGTCTGTGGATCCTCACCTAGATGTGGGGCCCATAGATCTGCCCAGCGCATTTGCTGCCTCATGTTCCCAGGCACCTGACTGTAGGCCATAGCCTCACCCTGCACAGGACATGGACACCTCCCAGCTCTTTGTCTGGTGCCTCTCCCTGGCCTCAGTGGGGCATATGTGGCCTGGCGCTTGGATACCCATCTGGAGACTCAGCAAGCCCATCTCAGGTGGTCACTGAAGGGCCATGCCTGCCCTGCAGAGGAGACAGTGGCAGCACCTGTGTGGTCTGGCCGCTGTGGCAATCCATCTGCCCTTTTGCCCTCCCTCACCTTCTGCTGATACCTCTTCTCTCCCTCTTCCAGGAAGGCCAGAACTATCCCGACCTCCACCTGCCCTGCTCGGAGCTGGAGTGCTGGATCCCTGGCACCTGCCTGGCCCCTTAACATAGAACCACGCCTGCTAACCTGTAGGCTCCACTGGGACCTGCTGTCCTGTCCCGCCTGACCCTGGGCCCTGGAGCAGCACCAGCCCCAGGGTGTGGGCCTGGGACCTGGGCCAGAACTGAGCCCTCCTGCAGGCATTTGGCTGCCCTGGGGGCCCACTGCCTAGGGAAGAGGACAGGTGGGGCCCAGCACCTGTGCCACCTCCCCCCCTCCACACACCATCCTTCCCCCTCACTTTGCAGAGTATTTTTCCTTTTTTTTTTTTTTCTTAAAGACGGAGTCTTGCTCTGTCGCCCAGGCTGGAGTGCAGTGGCCCCATCTCTGCTCACTGCAAGCCCCGCCTTCTGGGTTCCCGCCATTCTTCTGCCTCAGCCTCCCAAGTAGCTGGGACTACAGGCGCCCACCACCACGCCCAGCTAATTTTTTCTGTATTTTTAGTAGAGATGGGGTTTCACCATGTTAGCCAGGATGGTCTCGATCTCCTGACCTCGTGATCCACCCACCTCAGCCTCCCAAAGTGCTGGGATTACAGGCGTGAGCCACCATGCCCAGCCCTGCAAAGAGTATTTTTCTAGCGCCTGGGCTGGACAGTTGTTTCTAAAACTAAACTATTTTGGTACCTGCTTCTGGGCCAGTCCCCAGCCTGTCATGAGTGTGTGTGTGCGGGCATGGATGTGACTGGGAGCTCTGCTGGGCACCCACATCTGGGGCCTAGTCAGGTGTGTGTGTCCGGCGGGGGGGGGGGGCAGGGGGGGGGGTCAAGATGAGTTTCCCTGTAGATTGTACCTTGGGGTTTTTTTCTGTCGTTTTGTTAAAATTAGCGCCATTTTAATATTAAAAATACTGATTTTTAATATTGAAAATAAAAGCATTTAATATCTCTTAAAGGGCATCCACATCTGCTTTATCCCTAGCGGAAGAGTGAGGGGGCTTCACACGTGCACTCACACTGTGGAGAGAGTTGGATTTCCCAGACCCCTGAGGGCACCTGTCAGGGTCATCCCCATTGGTGCTGCTTGAGGCTACTGGGGACTGTGGCACTGGACGTGGCTGGAGCAGGTGGTGTCACCTGAGTACATTCTTTGCTAGCAGACAGTGGATGAGGCCCCTTCCTCTTCCTCACCAAGCCTGGGGCTGTGCCAGCCTGTCTTAGGCCAGGGCCTTGCAGAAGGCGCTCCAGGCGTGGAAGCAGCGGGTAAAGGCGTGCTGCTCATTGCCCTTGCGGACCAGGCGCAGCCGGCGCGGCCGCTCATGTTCCTTGGACCGCATGTGCTGGATATATACCTGGCAAGGGGACAGCGAGCCTTGGGTGATGACCCTGCCCTGCCCACAGGCCCACCTCGGCCCTCCCTCCACCCAGATTACCTGGCAGGCCTTCAGGCTCAGCTTGATCTCCACCTGGCTAGTCTGGGTCCCCACCCACATGTAGACCTGTGGGGGCAGCAGGGGAGATACGGTTGCATGGGTGCCTGGGAACAGCCCCTTGCTCCTGGCCCGAGAATTCCCATTTGTAAGTAAGTCTATGGGCGCCTCCTTGGATGGGCAGGGCTAGTGGCAACATCACACCTCTTGGCCATTGTCTAGCAACATGATGTCATCATCTGCCAGGTCATCTTGGCAAAAGTCGGAGCATTTCTCAGTCACTGCAAAGTAGCCCTTCTCGTTGGAGCACCTGGGAATCAAGGGTCAAGGTGAGGCCAGAGGTCATAAGCAGCAGTGCCAGGACTGAGGGGAGGGTCAGGGCCCTGGCCTCACCGGAAGAGACGTGTGTGTTTCATGTACTCGGCATCGTCATCATAGGGCTTCTGTGCCCCAATGCCCACCCAGAAGAAGTTCTCAGGCTCCTCACCTTCGTTGATAACCTGCGGGAAAGGCCAGTCCAGCCCAGGGCCCCTGCCTGCCCTGGCTCCTCTGTGTGTGCCCGCCTGCCCGCCCGCCTCCTGACCTGCTTGCTGTAGGAGGTGTCAAACATGGTGTTCAGGATGTCTTCTGCCAACTTGGCTTCGTCAGGGTCTGATGCCCGGCCCACCCAGGCATACACGATGCCCTGGTTGTCCTCACTCTCAAAGGGAACCTGGGGAGTGTGCAGGGGTGGGGGTGTTCGCAGCTGACTCAGCCCCCAAACACCCCACCCCTTGGTCCACGGAGTCCTGGCTCACACCCACAACCCCACCTTGAGGATGAAGCAGAACTCGGAGTTGAGGAGGCTGGAGTCGGTGTTGATCTGGATGCACCTGTGGAAGGGATGGGGCATCAGCAAGGATTCAGGCCTGGCTCCCTGACGCTTGCTCGCCACTGCGTCCTCCCCCAGCCAGGCACCGGGTGCAGAGGGCGCTGCCGTTGGTGCGGATCTGGTAGAGGCTGGGCTGTTGGGCGCCCTGGACCGCCTTCCTCTTGCCCCGGTGGATGATGAACTTCCTCTTGAAATGGGACAGGAACTTGGGGTTCTCCTGCTGCTGCGTCATGCGTACCACCTGGGGATGTGGAAGTGTTAGGGGCAGCTCCCTGGACCCCCACCTGCCCCTCGGGAGCCTAACCTTCGCTGGGTCTGAGCCCCACCACACCCCTCCGCCTGGCCTCGGGCTCGCGGGGCTGCCAGGCACACCTCCAGCTTCCCAGGGAAGAGGCTCTCGAACTTCTTTTGCAGGCTGAAGGTGAAGGTGAGCCAGCCCATATTGGAGGCTTCACGGCCCTGCCAGAAGTACACGATGCACTGGAAGTCCTCCTCTGGCTGCTTCTCCTCTGCCTCAGCGGTTGCTTCCTCGCCTTCTTTGCCCTCGGCCTTCTCCTCCTTGTCTTCCTTCTTTTCCTCCTCCTCGTACTCCACAGGCACCCAGTACCTGCCGGGTTGGAAGGTTGTGAGCAGGGGCTCGAGCCCCCAGCACCAGGGGAGGGACTTGGGGAAGGGAGTGCTGAGGTGGTACCTGCAGAGGAAGACGTAGCAGTCCTGCGTGTAGAAGTGGCCAAACTCCTCTTCCGGCAGCCGCGCAAACTTCTTGCCCTCCAGCACGAAACCCTCCATGCCGTCTAGGTCTTCGTTCCACTCCTCCATCAGCTGCTCCGCCTGCAGGTGAGAGGGACCCGCCCCGCGGCAGGTCTGAGCGCGCTCTGCGCATAGGCCCCGCCCTCGGCCTGCCCCCCACCCCCCCCCCCGCGCCCCGGTCCCGGCCCTGCCCCCACCTCGGCCAGCGACATGGGCGGCTGCCGCGGCAGGAAAAGCGCAGTGAGGTCAGCCTTCATCTGGTCTTTCTTCTCGGCGTCGCGTTTCACCTTCCCGGAGAGACCCGGGCTCTGCAGCACGGCCTCCGCATTGCGTGTGTAGTCCACCGTCAACACATCGTCCCAATTCTTGAACTTGGCCTTGAACACCTGCCAGGGAGGCCATCAACTAACCATGAGGGGTGCGGCATGATTAGAGTTGGAGGAAGTAGCCCGAGGCTTGAGGCGGGACCCAAGGGAGATCTAGGGCGGGGCTTGGGAGGCGGGGCCTCGGACACGGAGGTAGGAATAGGAGGGGCAGCTTGCAGAGGGGGCGGGGCCTGGGCAGAGTCAGCAAAGAGGAGGTGGGTTTGGGCCCAGCTCTGTAGGGAGGTAGTGAAGCCACAGGGGTCAGGGCATGTCAGGGTGCGAAGGATCCTGGGGAGGGGCCTCCGAAGCTGCAAGCGCACCTGCGCCTCGGTGCCCTCGAGGCTGCGGCTGACCGTGGCATGGCGTGGCCGGTGCAGCATCCCGCACAGCTCCTGACCCAGCTTGAGGGCGGCAGCGCGCACCAGGCGCGGGGACTTGCGGCCGAGCCAGATGAACACGTCGGACCAACAGTCCAGAATGTACACGCAGCGCGTGTCCAGCAGACTCTGCAGCTGCGGACCGGGAGTCTGGAGGTCAAAGCCCAGCCAACGGGGAGGGATCTGGCCCCACGCCCTCCTCCTGCATCTCTTACCAGCCGCATTCTTGGCATCAGCTCCACCTTGGGACGCTGCTTATGTTCCACGGAGAGCTTGTAGTTGATCTGTGGCAGCTCCAGGTAGCCCAAGCCCAGGCCCACCTGGCAGGAAGGATGAGCATGGCAGGGAAGGGATCTGGAGACAGGAACCTCACCCACACAGCCCTCTGCTCTGGAACCAGCCCTGCCCTGCAGCGTGGCTCACTGACTGCTTCTGTTTCCCCCTCCCCTTCAAGGTCTTTTTAGGGATATCCTTTCAGAAGGGCTTTTAAATGGAGTTTTCCCTGCCTGCCCTCTCCAGGCCCTTCATGCCATTTCTAATTAACGTGTCCCTTTCCTGTTCACAAGAATCTAGATAATTGAGCCAAGGTTCCCAGCCCTGGCACTAGGTGCTTCTGTCTCCCCTACGGCCCCACCATCCTGGAAAGACTCCGTGAGGCTACTTCTCAAAAGCAGCCTCCAGACCTTTGCTCATACTGTTCCTTGTCCAGAAGGTGGCACCCTCTCCCCACCAAAGTCGAGATGGAGCCCAAAGCCAACTACATCGGTGTGTAGTCCATTCCCCCAGTCGGTGGGTGAACTTGGGAGGCCAAGGTGGGCCTCAGCAGCAGGGCTCACCTTGTACAGCTTGGGCTGCGGCGGCCAGAAGTCTTCAGGCACGTGCTTCTTGATCTCAGAGGGCTCCCCACCCAGTGCCTCCCAGAACTCTGGGAGCTCCTGGCCCTGCACCAGCAGTGTGATCTCAGCCTTCCCTTTCCGCTCATTCTTGTTAATTTTCTCTGCAAAGAGCCTGAGAGCAGGATGCAAAGTCATCAGCGAGGCTCACACCCCTTTCCTTCACACAAAAGACCCCACGGTGTCCTTGTACCTGGCCTTGGTGGTGCTGCTCAGTGTGGCCTGGGCCCCCCGCCATACGTAGATGTCTAGCCCTCGGTCCAGCAGGAAAACAAACCTGGACAAGAAGGGGCAGGAAGGAGCTGTGATGGTGCATGGGGCAATGGTCACCCCATGCTCCTGACCCCACCAAAAAAAATCCCTCACTATGGGGTTTCTGGGTAAGCCCCAGGGACCCCCCGCCAAGCTCGTGGGCAGGAATTGCTAGAGGGCCTCCTCTTCTAAGAGGCCCACACCTGCCCCCACTGGTGGGGAGGAGGCTGAGGATGAAGCACCCCCACCTCACATTGTTGGGGCTCACCTTGGGTCCAGAGAGGTCCCCTTGAGGGGCACAGGCTCCAACTTGATGTTCTTTTTCCCATACACACGATACATCCTGGGCGCAGGGCAAGAGTGGCTCAGTGTAGGCACCAAGGGCCTAACTTAGCCCCAACACCCTCCCCTCCACCCCTTGCCAGCAGACTCCAGGTCCATACCCCCCACTGCCCACACACCCTCACCTGGTGACATAGTGTGTGTCTTCCACAGTGTAGAAGCCACTGGCTGTTCCACCCTCAATGTAGGAGATGTCGTTGTCAAACACCTGTGTGTGTGAGGGTGTGGTTCTTCATCACTGAGCTGCCCCCTCCCCCACCAACCACTGCCCCTCAGGTGGGGGTACAGAGTTGCATACAGGTGAATTGAGTGCTACAAATCTATGATGCCTGTAATCCCAGCACTTCAGGAGTCTGAGGTGGGTGGATCACCTGAGGTCAGGAGTTGGAGACCAGCCTGACCAACATGGAGAAACCCTGTCTCTACTAAAAATACATAAATTAGCCAGGCGTGGTGGTGCATGCCTGTAATCCCAGCTACTCGGGAGGCTGAGGCAGGAGAATTGTTTGAACCTGGGAGGCGGAGGTTGCAGTGAGCTGAGATTGTGCCATTGTACTCCAGCCTGGGCAACAACAGCAAAACTCTGTCTTAAAACAAACAAACAAACAAACAAACAACAACAAAAAAAACAGATCTGGCTGGGCACGGTGGCTCATGCCTGTAATCTTAGTACTTTGGGAGGCCAAGGCGGGTGGATCACCTAAGGTCAGGAGTTCGAGACCAGCCTGGCCAACATGGCAAAACCCCATCACTACTAAAAAAATACAAAAATTAGCTAGGCGTGGTAGCACATGCCTGTAATCCCAGCTACTTGGGAGGCTGAGGCAGGAGAATCGCTTGAACCCTGGGGGCGGAGGTTGCAGTGAGCCAAGATTGTGCCACTGCACTCCAGCCTGGGCAACAAAGCGAGAGTCTGTCTAAAATAAAACATACACATCTGTGTCTATAAACATACACACGTCGGGGTGTTGGGATGTATGAAAAATATGGACACGTTCACCCACGTTTGTAAAGATGCCAGCAGCATGTTTAGATGCACGCATATCAGGGTACACAAGCAAGTGGGTTCATGGAAGAGTGGAAACCTGGGTGAATGTGGGTAAAAAAAACTCGGGGCGGGTGGGGTGTGTGCATAAACTCCACGTGTGTGTACATGCGAACATATGTCTAGGTGTAACCAGCTGGCGGCTAACACTGCTCAGTAATTTATTCAAGACTGGACTCTGGTCCCGCCCTTGGCCCCACCTCCTTGGCATCCAGGTGTGTCCTTGCCTCCTAATAACAGGTTTTGGCCCTGCCTTCTCACTGCTCTTGGCAACACCCCTTCCACCCTACTCTCAGCTCCCCTGTGTCAGCCCACTGGTCTAGCTCCCATGCCCAGCCTGTACCCTTATCCTTGCCCGGCTGAATTCTGCCCCGCGTTCCAGAACTCTCCTTTGCTGACCCAGGCTTTGGCCACCTTAGACCTCACCCTGCGGTCTGCCTTAGGTCCCGCACAGTATCGTTGATCCACCCCCTTTAACCCCAGCTCCCTGCCTGCCCACCTGTTCTGCCTACCTGCCTTGGGCCCACTGCCCCTGCACCAGAGTTCCCTGGGAACCCCACTCTGCCCACCCCCAATTTTAACGGGCTGGCACCTGCAGGAACTCCTCGCTCTCATCGCCCATCTCCTCCCGGACAGTGCGGCACTCAGCACCCAGGTAGTTGCGCAAGTTGACAGCGTGGATGGCAGAGCAAGCTTTCTTGTCGAGTGTGGCCTCCCCGCCAATCCAGTAGTAGATCTCCCAGTTGAGGGAGCCGCTGTCATCCAGAAAGGTCTGGAAGCCAAGGCACCGGCCACATCAGCTTTCATCCTGGTCTTCCGGCCACCCCGGAGACGCCACTCTGAACAGCACAGGCTTCCCAGCCCCAGGGGCTTTGTACTGCCCCTGTGCCTGGACCACCTCCTGCAGCCTGCCCACCTCCCACCTGGCCTCCCTGAACAAAACTCTGGAGTTGGGGACTGAGCCATCTTAGAGGAAGGTACTGGGCCACATGGCCCCTAACAGCATGCCCAGCCCTCACCTTGAGCACAATGTAGCAGTCAGCCTCGTAGAACTTGCCGTGGAAGGCTTCCTCCACCAGCACAGGCACGAAGTTCTCTATCTGCCAGATGGTCAGTCCGGGCAGCTGGCCCACGTCCTCCGTGAAGAACTCGGAGTAGTCAAGGCGGGGCTTCTCCAGGCCCTGGTCCCAACGCCGCACCTTCCCGCTGGGGGCCCGGGCATCTGCGCTCTCCTGGGGGCAGAGTCACAGAGCACGGCTTGACTCTGTGAAGCCACTCAGGCCAGTCTTTACTTGCTACCCACACCTCAGGGCCTTTGCACAGCTGTTCTTTCTGCCCAGCACCCCCCGTCCCTCTTGGCCAGGGTCAAGGCCAGGGTCGGCCTTCAGCAGAAGCTAAGGCTCCCTGCCTTGTCCCAACCCTGGCCTGGCTCACCTCCTGCTTTTTGTTCTTCTCCTGGGCAACATCTGACATGCCCTTCAGCACCTGCTTGGCCTGGTCATCCTGGGCTGAATCCTTGCGCCTCCGCAGTCGCATCTTGCGAGCCATAGGGTCCTTGGGCCCACTCCCTGCTTAGGGGAGGGGCAAACAGCTGAGCCCTCACTGGGCCTGCTGCCCCCTTGGGCATGCGACCAACCAGGGGCCAACTCCACCCACCAGGGTCCAGAAAGCTGTATGCCACCCAATTTACAGATGTGTCATTTGAGGCCTGGAGAGGAGCCCCCGTTCCCAGGCCAGACCTTTCCCCACTCACCAGCTGCAGCTGCAGCCACGGTAGCAGGAGAGGCACCCGCTAGCCGCAGCTGGTTCTGCAGCGAGAAGTCGATGTTGTACCACTCAGCGGCACGGTCTGCGGGCTTGGGCGGCATGACCAGGTTGGGGTTCTCCCGCACATCCAGGACCTGCCCCATAGGGTGAGCAGAGCCGGCACTGAGCCTGGGTCCTACCTCCCAGACACACCAATCCAGTTTCTTGCTCTTGTCTGCAGCCGCCAGGGCTGAGAGGTCAGGGAACTGGGTTCTCCTCCCACCCACCTCTGGGGCTGGCTGGGGGCTTAAATGAGACTGTGGAATGTACTCTGGATGCAGGGAGGTGGGGCCCACCTTCTCCCCACGGGCACCCTGGCACTGGCCACCTCCCTCAGGAGGCCTCTGCTGGGTCCCCCTTGCTCCAGGGCACACCCCTTGCTTGTCTCTCTTGAGCCCTCTCAAACCCAGCATGCCTGACCTCGATCTCCGTCAGGAAATGGATGGCTTCTGGGAGGGTCACCAGGTGGTTCTTGTTCAGGACAAGTTTCCTCAGCTTTGGGCACCTGTGAAGACAGGGCCAGCCAGGGCCTCAGGCAGGTGACAGACAAGGGGAAGTGGGCAAGAAAACCCCTAGTCCTGGGGAGGGGAGGCAGGTAGGGTCAGAGGAACTGGCGGGGGTCTCCATTCTCTGCCTGAAGGACTTCTCAGAGCCAAGAGACCATGTTACGGGCACTGTGATCTCCAGAAGGGGAGAGAAGCAACACTGCGTTCCCACGTCATGTGGCCTTGTCCCTAACAGTGCCCCCCGAAGGGTGCTCTCAGGGGCTCAAGTTGGGAATGGCTGGCATGGGACTGTGGTCTTCATCCACAAAGGTGAGTTAACTGGGCCGGGCGTGGTGGCTCACACCTGTAATCCCAGCACTTTGGGAGGCTGATCATTTGAGGACAGGCATTCAAGACCAGCCTGGCCAACATGGTGAGACCCCATCTCTACTAAAAATACAAAAAGAGCCGGGCGTGGTAGCGCACGCCTATAATCCCAGCTACTCAGGAGGCTGAGGCAGGAGATTCGCTTGAACCTGGGAGACAGAGGCTGCAGTCAGCCGAGATTGCACCACTACATTCCAGCCCAGGCGACAGAGCGAGACTCTGTCTCAAAAACAAAAAAGAAAAGAAAAGAAAAGAAAAGGTGAATTAACCCATCTTCATTTTGTCTGACTTGCACAGACCACAAGGTGGGCTCTGACTACGATCCCGGGGTTCTCTGTGCTGCAAGTGCCTCTGCTAGCCCCAGCCCTGCCCAGCACCTGCAGAGACTTTCAGGGACCAGCTCCAGGTTGTTGTTGGCAGCCATGAACTCTTCCAGGTTGGTGAGCTTGCCAATGCCTGAGGGCAGCCCGTCAAAGTCCAGCTTGTTGGAATTCAGGTACAGCTTCTTCAGCTTGCTCAGCTTGCAAATGGCTGACTGGAGGGGGAACGGGCAGGGGTGGGAGGTCAGGGCCAGGCTCACGGCCTTCCTCCCATCCCCCTACTGAGGGCCTCAGACGCACGGGCAGTGAGGTGAGCTGATTTCGGGACAGGTTCAGAGTTTCCACGTGCACCCACTGGTCTATGCACAGGGACAGCTCCGTGATCTGGTTGCTGCTGAGGTTGAGGCGGCGCAGGCTGGGGAGGGTGTACAGACACTCGGGCACCCGTGTCAGGTCATTGCAGGACAGATCCACGTCTGGGGTGCAGGGTGGGGTGCATCAGCTGGGGCCCATACACCAGGTGCCAGGGCAGCCAGCCCTAGTGTGAACCCCAGCTCTGCCACCTCTGAGCTGTGTGGCTTAGGCAAGTGACAACTGCTGTGCGCCCAAGTTTCTCCATTTGGACAAACTCCCTCACATGGGGGTTGCGGGGGAGTTTTCTAGGCATAAAGTCAGTGTTAAGGCATCATCATAATCGCAAAAGTCACTGTAACATAACTCCAGCCTTTTCCCTCTGGGTATTGGTCCGAAGAGCAGGGTTCAACCCCTTCCACCCAAGGAAGCAAGAGGGCCCAGAGGGGGCCCGAGCTCAGAGGGGCTCCTGGGGCTGCCTGACCTGCGAGGTTGCTCAGACCCTCCAGGCTGGTGGGCAGGTTGCTCTGGGTGCGCTGGGTGCTCCGCAGGTGCAGGGTCTGCAGGGCCGTCATCGCTGGGAGCTGCCTGCCAGGGTGACGTGAGTGGTCAGGGCCAGGGCCCACCTAGGGAGTGTTAAGGGTGGGGCTTGGCAGGGCAGGACCAAAAGCACAGGGCCCAGAGGGTAGGTGTGAGGTCACATCTGGTTGAAGGGACAAGCCCAAGGGTGGTTGCGGGGTGTGTAAGCGGGAAGACAGGACTGAGAGGTGGACATGATACTTAGGAGGTTGTACACTGAGGGGTGCTGCCTGCACGGAGGGATGGCTGGGCCTAAGGGAGAAGGGTTAGGGCCCTGGGAAGTGAAGGGGCCCGGCCAGACTCCTCAGGGTGGCTTCTGCAGGAGTGCGGTCCGAGGGGGCGCCCACCGGAGCTGTGCATGCAGCAGGGGGTTTCCATTGAGCACGAGCGTCTGCAGGTGCACCAGGCGGCGCATCTGCGGGGGCAGGCTCTCCAGGCGGTTCTCGCTGAGGTCCAGGTATAGTAGGTCAGTGAGGTTGATGAAGAGCTGGTTGGGGATGGTGTCGATGCTACGGGTGGGGAGCAGGAGCCACCTGAGTCAGCACCAGCCACCCCACAGGGCCCACCTGCCCCCTGCCCCCCACTGGCCTGGCACCTGTTGTGGCTGAGGTTCAGCACCAGCATGTTCTTGGCGTTCTCCAGCTCCCGCGGGCACTCTGTCAGCTGGTTGTGGCTCAAGTCCTGGGTAGAAGGGGCAAGACCCAGGTCAGGGGAGTCTCCTCCCCACCAGGCGTCTGCCAAGCTTGGGGATCAGGCAGGGCACTGAGTTGGGTGTGGGGGTAGATGAGGGGGCTTCAGGGCCAAAGGGAGACAGCCAGGGACTTGGGAGGAAGAGTGCCTGTGTTAGGGATCTGACTCCAAAAGTGACCTCAGGCAAGGTATTATCCACTCCAAGACTCAGTTTTCCCATCTGCAAAATGGGATAACAATGGCCCCAGGGACTTTTATAGTGAGTGGGGATTGAATGGTCCGGCTAGCACAGGGGCCAGGTGAGTGGGTAGCCACTGACCAGGACTGAGAGATCATCTAGCTTGAAGATGTCATCGGGGACTCCGGAATTCTTCAGACTGTTGGCTCGGGCCACGATGGCCTGGGAATAAACCATAAGAGTCTATAATTCCTGGCTTCCACTCTCAGGAAGGAACAGAGTCTAGAGAGGGACACCTCCTCAGGCAGCTCACCAGAGGCCAGGCCTGAGGACTCTCTCACCTCTGGCCTTTGATCAAATAGCTCCCTCTCCTGGAGCGCTCTTCCTAGCCTCCCAGTGAGCTCCTATTCATGCCTCAAAGCCCAGCTCAAATGTGCCCCGGAGCCCCAGCACAGGGCCCTCAGGGAACCTTTTCTGTTCAAACCATTTCTCTTCTTCTTAATTCCAGAAGGTGAGATAGGGGTAAGGTCTGAGTCAGGGTTTTCAGAACAGAGGGAGAGAAGTGGACCACAGAGAAATCAGAATCTGGATGGAGAGGAAGTCTGCTTTCTCTCCCTAACTTAAGACTGACACCTCCTCATACCTTACAGACATGCAGAAAGCTTGAGCATGAGGGAACAGGGCCAGAGAATGGTGTCGTGACTCCAAGTGACAACGGGAGTCACCGGAGCTGCCCCGCCACTTCTCCAGTCTGAATGCCTGTGCGGCACCCTGCTGCTGCTTCACGGGGTCACTGCTGCCCCTCCCAACCACTGCACTTGCAGAGGAGGCCCAGAAGGTAGAAGCGATTTGTACAAAGTCACATCACCAGGAAGTGGCAAAGCCCAGCTTTGAACTCAGAGAGTCCAAGTCAGAAGCTGTGCCCTAAACATCTCCAGGGCTCTGACTTCAGATGGGATGGCCCTCGTTGAGGCCTACAGGGTCTGGCCAAGGGCCTGATGTTCTGGGACGTTCAAGTCTTGGGTAGAAGGTACACGGTGCTCCCGGCCAAACCCCACTCAACACCAGCTCTACCACTGCCTGGCTCTGTGACCTGGGGCAAGTAATCTGCCTTGGTGGCCAAGTTTCTCTTCTGCAACATTAGTGGAGGGCTAGAGCATATGAAAAAATCCTAACAGAATAGTGGGAACATTGCTCAGCCAGTCTTGGCTATTATTACTGTAGTTATTGTCCATAACGGCTGGTAAGATTTTGGATTTCTTTACCTTTTTCCTGATGGAATTCTCTGATCCACATGGGTTACTTTACACAGGGCACTGCTGTAACCTCTAATGAGAGGGCCCCTCTGTGACACCTGAGCCTCTGAGCCTGACACGGAGGTGGGCAGAAATGCTGGCCCAGCTTGGTGTCTAGCCCAGGCTTCACGTCCCTGACCGGACCTTGGCCCCAACCCCAAGCTCGGTGGCCTCCCGGCCAGCACTCACGCGCAGCGATGGCAGGCTGGACAGCTCCCCATGAAGCGTGGTCAGGTTGTTGTGGCTCACAGACAAGTGTTCCTGGGCCGGAATGGGGAGCACAGGCTCAGCAGGGTGGGTGGGGTGTCCAGAGTCCCTGCCTGCCTCCACAACTCTGCACCATCCAGGAAGGCCTCAGCCACACTGGCCCAACTACCCCTGCAGCTTCCCTCCCTCACTCACCCGGCCTCTTCTTGCACACCTCCCTGGACAGGGTGCCCACTCCCTTTCTTCCAGCTCTGCTCATAGCTGTCGGTGTTCCTCTCTCTGGAGAAGTTGTCTGCCTTCTCCACAGGCTCTGCCCACCTGGCTCATCCACAGGGACCCTCCCCTGCCCGCCCAAACCCCCTTACCAGCTTCTGCAGGGCGGCCAGCTCCTCGGGCAGGTAGCAGAGGCCAGTGCGGTTCAGCTTCAGCCACCGCAGGCTGGTCATGGCCTTGACATTCTCAGGGAAGTAGCCGCCCTGGGGGAAGGATGTCAAGGTGAAGCACAGAGCCCCTGCTCACCACCTTCTATGGCTCCTCCAGCCCATGGGAGCCTTTGGGGAGCCACAGAACCAACTCTCACCATCTGTGAGAACACAGACAAGTCATTTCATCATTGTGCCTCAATTTCTTCACCCATAGAATGGGAATTTTAAGCCCCCCCGTGACAAAAGTGTTGGCCTAAGATTTGTCTCTCCTACTGGATTCTGGGCCCCAGGAGGGCCAGGACAAAACTGGCTTGTTTCAGGTGAAAGCCCAGCATCCGGCTCTGTGGTTAGCTCGGCTCAAATTCCTTCACCTAGCATTCCACACTCTGACTGGCTGCCTGGGGTGGGGGATCCCCCTTCCAAGCCTTTGCAAAGGCGCCACCTGTGCCCTCATCCTGCCATCAGCACACTGGCAACTCACGGCCAGGGTCAAACCCTTGCTTGCGGAGACCGTGGCTCCCCACCCTGCAGGGCAGGCCAGCATCACTGCACTCCCCTGGTGTGTGAACGCCCACCTCGGCACCTCCAGCCCTTGTGGCACCAAGTCTGGGGCAGTAGGTGCCTTCAGTGCCTGCGGCTGATATTCCTTTCCCCCTAGCGCCACATTCCCAGCTGGTGACTCGGACTCTCCCAGTTCAGCAAAGAGGAACGGGGACCCCAGGTTAGGGTGGTGGGGATGGGGTCAGGGAAAAGTGGTGTAGCCACTTGTACTTGGGGTCAAAGGTGTGTACACAGGCAGGTAAACGCAGGAAAAACCTGCCTCCTCGGCCCCAGCCCCAGACCAACAACCCAGGCCGACCCTGCCAGTCACCCACCCTGAAGGTGAGGCTGACCCTCCAGCCAGCTCTCCCTCCCTCTCTTTCTCTGCTTCCCCTTTGGTCAGGCAATGCCTGTCTCATTCTTGAGTCCTGGAACCACCCCGCCGCCCCACCCACTGGCTGCGGAGGGCTGGGCTCCGGTCCCTTTTCTCTCAGTCCAGCAGCTGCTCAGACAACTGCCACCCAGCACCTGGCACACCGGCCTGACACACTCTCCACACCAACAAATCTCACTATACTCCTTGCGTCCAAGGAGGAGACTTTTAAGCCCCTTCACCGGCTGAGAAAGCCTAGGCTCTGAGAGGGGAAGTGATCTGAGAGGCCCAGGATCACACAGTATGGCGGGTGGCGGTGGCGGGGAGAGGGCAGTGATGAGTCGGCTCCACACCCGCCCCTGGGCAGCCGGGCAGCCATCCCTGAGTCAGGGCCTGGCTTGGGCGTGTGACCTCAGAGGGGCGGGGAGGCTCGCCCGATCCCCAGGCCACCATCCAGCCTAGACCGAGAACACGGACGCGGGGTGGGGGCTCCCGGCCGGGCCCCCGGCGGGACTCCGAGCCCAAGCGTCCGTCCCCGGCCTGCCCAGCCTCGGTCTCCCCGTACAGGCACTGGGCGGAGGCCTCGGAGGTCCATTCCTGGCCAGGGGAGAGCCCCACCCCGCCCCGGCCGCAGTCCCTGGGACACGCAGGGCCTGGAGCCGAGCGGGACAGGAAGCGGAGGCCAAGCGGGCCGGGCGGAAGAGAAGGCCTGCAGGGAGGCCCGGCACGCGCCCGGCCCGGCTCACCTTGAAGTCGTTGCCGCTGAGGTCCACGCCACGCACGAACGGCAGCACCCCGGTGGCCTCCATGGCGCCGCTCTCGCTGCCGGGCCGCGCCGGGCTAGGGAGCGCCGGGGCGAGGGCGCTGGGGGGAGCCGCGGGCTGGGCCAGCGCCGGCCCCGCCCCTTTAACCCGCCCGCGCCCGCCGCATTCCGCGGGGAAGTGTAGGCTTTAGGCCTCTTAGGGCCTCAGTTTCCCCGTCTGTTCGAAGACTGCGGAGGCACCAAGGAGTGCGGGCCCCCCCTGTGCTGGAGTTGGAGGCTTCCACGATCTCCAGGCTTAAGTCCCAGCGCCCCAGGGCAGGGGCCGTAACGGCCGCTGGTCGAGGCACCGTCACCTGCGCTGCTGCAGCACATGAAGCTGGCCCTGACCTCAGAGAGATTCTAAACCTCGGCCCCGGGGCGCAGAGGCCCAGGAAGTGCCTGTACTTGGCTGACCGGTGGTAGTGAGACACCTGGATCCTCGGGTCCTAGCTCTCCTGCTTCTGGACTTAGTTTCCTCATGTGTTGTTTTTGTTTTGTTGAGACAGGGTCTTCTTGCTCTGCTGCCCAGGCTGGAGTGCAGTGGTGTGATCATAGCTCACTGCAGCCTCGAACTCCTGGGCTCAGCCTCCCGACTACCTGGGATTATAGGCGCAGGCCACCACACCTGGCTAAATTTATTTATTTTATTTATTTTTTATTTTTTTTGAGACAGAGTCTCGCTCTGTCGCCCAGGCTGGAGTGCAGTGGCGCAGTCTCGGCTCACTGCAACCTCCGCCTCCCGGGTTCACGCCATTCTCCTGCCTCAGCCTCCCGGGTAGCTGGGACTACAGGCACCCGCCACTACGCCCGGCTAATTTTTTTTTTTTTTTTTTTTGTATTTTTAGTAGAGACGGGGTTTCACCGTGTTAGCCAGGATGGTCTCGATCTTCTGACCTCGTGATCCAACCGCCTCGGCCTCCCAAAGTGCTGGGATTACAGGCGTGAGCCACCGCGCCCGGCCTTATTTATACTTTTTGTAGACACGGGGTGCTTGCTATGTTGCCCAGGCTGGTCTTGATCTCCTGGCCTCAAGTGATCCTCTGGTATCAGCTTCTCAGAGTGTTGGGATGACAGGCGTGAGCCACCGCGCCCTACCCAGTTTCCTCATTTGTAAAATACTTTCTAAGGTTGTCACCATGAGCAAATTAACAAAGAATGCACGTGTAGCTCGCAGCATACAGCAGGCGCTCAGTGAGTGGCAGGTTATTATTCCGTTTTGTTTTGTTTTGTGCGCCAGGTTATTATTCCCACTTAGTGTCAGCACCCCTGTGCTCGTACCCCCCTACAAAGGGAGGCTCCAGAAGAGAAGCATCCGTCTTGGTCCTTGCTGTTCAAGGGGGCTCGCCCTGGCTGACACATAGCAGGACCCCAATAAATGAGCCACAGCTGTTATATGCCCAACCATCCTTCGCAGGGGAGGAGGGGGTCTAGTGTCCCCATTTTACAGGAGAAAAACTGATGCCCAGGTGGAGAATGGCCCACACAAGCTCGCACAGAGCAGGTGGCAGGGGTAGGCGCTGTGCCCCTCAGGCCCACAGGTAAGAATGAGGCCACCAAGACACTCTCTCGCAGAGGTGACCTAAGAGGTTGGATGTGCCGGGCCTCTAGCCATGTGCAGCCTCTCTACCTGGTCCCCAGAAGGAACGGGGCCCAGACAGCTTCCTCCACACCGGAGGCTCACATTACAACGCACAGACGTCCTGGAGGGTCGCCTGTCACGTCACCTGTTCGCGGTCTCGGAATGCAGCCCTGCACCTTTAAATCCAGACTGCGTCAGGGAGTCCCGCCCCAGAGGGAGTGCGGCTGTCGGCTGGGGGGCGGGACCTGCCCTTCATTGGCTGAACCGCGCAGTATTTTGGCACCTGTGCGCTGGACTCGAGCGCTCCGATTGGAGTTAGGGCCTGCTTGTCTGCGTGCTGCGAAGTCCGCGGCTGCCCCCGGGGCCCTAGTCGTTGGGTTCCAGGGTCCTTCACGTTCCATTCCCAGGCTGGTCTGAGCTCCGGGGCCGTGGTCCCGCTGCCTCCTCCGGTCGTCGTGCGGAAGCTGCGACGCAGGTACAGCTGGAGCGCGGCGGGGCGGCCCCCAGGGTCACCGGGCTCGGGGCTTGGCGCGCGACGGAACGCAGATCGGGGGCGTGGCCCGCGATCACCGCTGGGGAAGGCGGGGAGGGGACCTTTGGGGGACCAAGGGCAGCGTTCGAATCCTAGCCCAGCCCCCTTCCCCTCTCGGTCTCTTGGTTTATCCTGCGAACGGGGCGTCACCCGCCCACCTAGGGCTGCTGCGCGGCCTGCTCCGCCCGGGCCCAGGGCAGGCAGGTTTGGCGGAGGAGGGAAGGCCAAACGGCCTCCAGGGCCCCGCTGCGCAAACTTGGGTTATTTTCAGCCACCCGTGCCCTTTCCTGCTTCTCGGAGCTGGAAGGCTGTGGACTGAGGCCTGCGCGACCCCGCCAGAGATGGGGCTGAGTCCCAATTTAGACAGGTTGGGAGTATTTAAAGCGCTTTACAGTTTGCAAAGTAGATTCCTGGTCTCTCTGGGGGCGGGTGGCAGTATTGATCCCCGAGTCACCGATGAGGAGATTGAAACCGGCCCTGGGGCCGTGGCGGGTCACCCGGTTGGCCTGGGATCGCCCCAGAGACCGTCTTATTTTTAGTCTGGGGCGAATGGGCGGGTGTACGGGGCTGAGTCACACAGCGCTTCAGGCTTCAGCTACTCCAGGCATCTGGTCACCTGGCAACTGGGCCCCTGGCACCCACACTCTGGCAGGGCAGGTAGAAGTCCTTGGTGCCCGGGCAGGCTGTGACCTCATGGTCATCTGCTCAGGCCTCCCCGGGAGAGTTCTGCTTGGTGTCTAACTGATGTCCTAAGGTCCCAGCCCTTCTCAGCTCCCAGGGCCTGAGGGCAGTGTCCCCCTCGCAGAACGTGAGGAATGTGGACTGGGCCCTAGGAGATCTTTGCCTCCACTTCCCAAGTGCTGGCCCCCACCCAGCCACACACTTCAAGGCTGCCCACATCTGCCCCTCACTGCTGCCTATGCCATCTTACAGGTGAGCAAACAGGCTGGGGCCCAGGCCTTCACCTTACTTTCTGTGTTGCTTGGCCTTCCGGCAGTTGAGAAGCATCACCCACCACTACCTACACATTGTCCCAAGACTGAGAGGCCCAGAGAGCCCCCTGTACAGAGGCACTGGGCAGCCCTTTCTGCCCTGCCAAAGGGGCTTCAACCCTGACAAGCACATCTGCATTGGCCTGCCTGGGCAGCTTGGGCCGTCTTACTCTGCCCGTGCTCTGACTTGGTAGCTCTGCCTCTTGGGCTACCCTGTCAAGATTTGGGGGTAACTGGTCCCAGTGGTCCCCCAGACTGGCTGGGGCCCCAAATTGTTGGTCTTCTCTGGACTTTGGGCTCTTCTGAAGAGGTTATCATAGAGGGCTGCTGTGCCCTCTGGGTAGGAACCTTCAGATGAGGCTGCTGCTGAGGACCTGGGCACCTGGCACAGGGAGAATCCGTCAGACTCTGTGGGCGGATGAGAGTCTGGAGGCCTTGCAGTCATGGGTTGGAGACCTTACCACTCACTTGTGAGCTGGCAGCCTGTAGCTCTGTAACATAGGGGTAGTGATGATGACACCCTGGTGATGTCAGAGGTCCTGGAGGGTGGGCTCCAGGGAGAGAGGCCCCTTCCTATACCTGCACAAGCCTCAGGGCCTTTGTGAGCTTCTTTCCAGGCAGCTTTGGGAGAAGGGGCTTGGCAGCTCCCTCATCTCCTCATGAGAGATGGGGGCTTGGGACCCCAAAACCCAAGCTCATATCCCATCCCTGCCCTTTCTCAGGTACTTTACGTGATTTCCCAGGGCCTCGGTGTCCTCCCCTGTGGATGGGTGGCCCCTTTCTCTGAGAAATTCTCAGAAAGCCCCCCTCATGGGCTCAGCTCTGTTACCCAGCATAAGGACAGCTAGAGCACCTGTCCACAGCAGCCCCTCTCCCAGCCTGGCCACCTGCACCTGAGCTGCCCCTTCACCCCTGGCTCTCTTACAGGCAGACCATGGCAGAGTTCTCCCAGAAACGGGGGAAGCGGCGTAGCGACGAAGGGCTGGGCAGCATGGTGGACTTCCTCCTGGCCAATGCCCGCCTGGTGCTGGGCGTGGGCGGGGCTGCTGTGCTGGGCATTGCCACCCTGGCCGTGAAGCGGGTAAGGCCAAGTGGGCGGGTCATGCCTGAAGCTCCTAGAGGAGGACAACAGGGTTGGGCTTTTCAGAGGGGCCCTGGGGAGGGGTGGGGACTGCCCAAGGCCTTCATGGGAGCCCAGGGCACCTGCTTCTCCACCCAGCACGCTGGTCTGCTTTGCCCTGGGCTTTGCTATGACTGCCCAGATTTCATATACACTGATCTGTGTGACTGTGCTTGCAGTTCATTGACAGGGCCACTAGCCCGCGGGATGAGGATGACACCAAGGCAGACAGCTGGAAGGAACTGAGCCTGCTCAAGGCCACACCACACCTGCAGCCCCGGCCTCCACCTGCTGCCCTTAGCCAGCCAGTGTTGCCCTTGGCCCCCTCGTCGTCTGCCCCAGGTGAGTGGCACTCCTTCCCCTCTTTTGGTGTCACATTCAAGAGACGCAGCCCAGGCTTTGCCCTGACTGACTGTGTGACCCTGCGCGAGTCCCTGCTTCTCTCTCGGTTGTGGGCTCCTCAGATATTTAATGGGGGTGGTGTTTCTTTGCCCTGTTCCTGGAGCAAGGTGGTAGCGTTGTGATGGTGGGGAGCTTTAGATGGGGAAACTGAGGTCCAGAGGGGCGTGACATACCTACCTACTCTGCATGAAGCTGTTGTCGCCAGGGTGTTGGACTCTGGGGCAATGAGAACTCGTCACCAAGAGCTCACTATATGTGAGGATCTGAACTGAGTGCCTTCTCAGGTGCCACTGCAGGTGAGAAAAGTGAGGCCCTGGGACATCACACAGCTAGTTCTCGGTGGCGTTTTCTTAACTAATCACAGGCTGTTCCGACATGTTCCCCGCCCCTTCACTCTGCAGAAGGGCCTGCAGAAACTGATCCTGAGGTGACACCACAGCTCAGCTCCCCAGCACCGCTGTGTCTGACACTGCAGGAGAGGCTGCTGGCCTTCGAGCGGGACCGTGTGACCATCCCAGCAGCCCAGGTGGCTTTGGCCAAACAGCTGGCTGGCGACATCGCCCTGGAGCTGCAGGCCTACTTTCGGAGCAAGTTCCCGGAACTGCCCTTTGGGGCATTCGTGCCTGGGGGGCCGCTCTACGACGGGCTGCAGGCGGGGGCTGCGGACCATGTGCGTCTCCTGGTGCCACTGGTGCTGGAGCCGGGCCTGTGGAGCCTGGTGCCGGGCGTGGACACTGTGGCGAGGGACCCTCGCTGCTGGGCCGTGCGCAGGACGCAGCTTGAGTTCTGCCCCCGTGGGAGCAGCCCCTGGGACCGCTTCCTGGTCGGGGGCTACCTCTCCTCCCGCGTCCTGCTGGAGCTACTCCGCAAGGCGCTGGCTGCTTCTGTCAACTGGCCGGCCATTGGCAGCCTTCTCGGGTGCCTGATCCGGCCCAGCATGGCCTCGGAGGAGCTGCTGCTCGAGGTGCAGCACGAACGCCTGGAGCTCACTGTGGCTGTGCTTGTGGCAGTCCCTGGGGTCGATGCTGACGACCGCCTCCTCTTGGCCTGGCCCCTGGAGGGGCTGGCGGGGAACCTCTGGCTGCAGGACCTGTATCCAGTGGAGGCTGCTAGGCTGCGAGCCCTGGACGACCATGACGCTGGGACTCGCCGGCGGCTGCTGCTGCTGCTGTGTGCTGTCTGCCGTGGTTGCTCGGCTCTGGGGCAGCTAGGCCGGGGTCACCTGACCCAGGTGGTCCTGCGTCTGGGGGAGGACAACGTGGATTGGACGGAGGAGGCCTTGGGTGAGCGCTTCCTGCAAGCCCTGGAGCTGCTCATCGGCAGCCTGGAGCAGGCCAGCCTGCCCTGCCACTTCAACCCCAGCGTGAACCTCTTCAGCAGCTTGCGTGAGGAGGAGATTGACGACATTGGCTATGCGCTATACAGTGGCCTACAGGAGCCCGAGGGGCTGCTCTAGGTGGGTGGAAACGGGTGGTTGCCATGTTTTCTAATGCTGGGGAGCTGCACCCACCTCCCTTCCAGGGATTTGAATAGTGGTTTTTCTCTAGCTTTTTGCCAGAACAAAGGAGGGTACATTACTTAAACCCAGGGCATCAGGATGTGCTTGGGCTATGGTGGCCATAAACCCTGAGCCCAGAGAGCTTGGGTCACTGTCACCTGAGTGCAGCTGGGCTGCCTCAGGCAGCTTGGAGTGCCAGCCATTCCTGCAAGCACCGTTTCAGCTCTTGGGGCCAACCCCAGGACCTTTGGCTCTGTCCATCACCAGCAACCAATCCACCAACAGAATGTGGTTTCTGCCATCCTGGGCAGAAGCTGAAGGCCAGCTTCACATTTCTGCTGAGAGAAGGTGACTTAACGCCTTTTCCGGCCCTAGCTCCAGGCGTTTTGAGGCGTCTGGTGCCTGATGGTAGGTATGGTGTGTTTGTTCTGTCCCCCAGGGGCTGGAGTCACCTGGTGCCCCTGAAGGACAGATTTTTGGCTGTTAAAGGATGGCATTTTCCTGCTGTCTTCTGTGCGTTTAGTTTTCTTGCTGAGCGGGAGCTCAGTATGACTTGCCACCCACCTGATACCTCAGGGCAAGGCCCTTTTTCCCTCCAGCCAGGTGAGTGTTTTCTTCAGGCAGCTGAGGGTCCTGGGGGAGCTGAGGCTCTGTGCTGCACCCCCAGCCCACAGCTGGGGCATCTCACTGGAGCTGTTCCAGGCCCCACTGGAGAGCAGAGGACCTGATCCCCCACTAGAGAGGTCCGGTGTGCACAGCCGGCCTCCCAGTGTGCCAAAATGAACTGCTCTCAGCTGATGGCTGTATTCTGACTTTGAAGCCTGTTAAGAGGTAGCAAGGGGGCTAGAGGAGGGAGATTCCACCTCCCCTCCCAAGTGACCCTCCTCCTGCCTCTGGTATCCTTCCTTTTGAAACGAAGCTCAGCTTCGAAGATGTGAACAAGAATAAAAGGAAAAAATTCTAATGTATATATAACTCAGGCTGGATAAGGGAGTCTTGGTGCTTTCATACGCAGCTGTTGAGGGTTTTCTGTAAGTCCTGTGGCTTGTCCTGGCACTTTGGCAAGAGTGCTTGAGGTCAATTGGAGGTGGTAGAGTTTACTTTAAAAAGTAGCATCTTGGCCGGGTGTGGTGGCTCGCATCTGTAATCCCAGCACATCGGGAGGCCGAGGCGGGCGGATCACGAGGTCAAGAGATCGAGACCATCCTGACCAACATGATGAAACCCCAACTCTACTAAAAAGACAAAAATTAGCTGGGCGTGGTGGCACGCACCTATAGTCCCAGCTACTCGGGAGGCCGAGGCAGGAGAATTGCTTGAACCCGGGAGGTAGAGGTTGCAATGAGCTGAAATTGCACCACTGCACTCCAGACTGGCGACAGAGCAAGACTCTGTCTCAAAAAAATAAATAAATAAGCATCTTGGCCCCGCGCTGTGGCTCACGCCTATAATCCCAGCACTTTGGGAAGCCGAGGCCGGTAGATCACCTGAGGTTGGGAATTCAAGACCAGGCTGACCAACGTGGAGAAACTCCATCTCTGGTAAAAATTCAAAAAAATTAGCTGGGCATGGTGGCACATGCCTGTAATCCCAGCTACTTGGGAGGCTGAGGCAGGAGAATTGCTTGAACCCGGGAGGCGGAGGTTGTGGTGAGCTGAGATCGTGCCAGTGCACTCCAGCCTAGGCAACAAGAGTGAAACTCTGTCTCAAAATAAAATAAAATAAAATAATAATAGTAATAATAAATTAGCATCTCAGTCTGTTTGGGCTGTGATAACAAAATGCCATAGACTAGGTGGCTTATAAACATCAGAAATTTATGTCTTACCATTTTGGAGGCTAGAAATCCAAGAGTGAGTCACAGATTCCATGTTTGGTTGAGAGCCCACATCCTGGTTCATAGGTGTCCCCATCTAGCTGTCCTCATGTGGAGGAAGGGGGGAAATGCTCTCCTAGGGTCTCTTATAAGGAAACTAAGCCCACCCATGGGGTGGGGGCCCACATTCATGATCGAATCACTTCCCAAAGACCCCATCTCCTGTTAGCAGTGCCTTGGGGGTTAGGATTTCAGCATACAAGTTGAAGGGGACACAGACTTTCTGTCCGTGACAAGTAAGGTAAGTGGAAGGAAAAGATGAAAAGCTTGGTGTTGCTTTAGTAATGGGAACCAGCCAGTTTGGGATGTTTCTTCCCGCAAGGCTGAACTGCTGAGCCCTGCACCATACTTTCTGTAATTAGTGGGCTGTTGACAGCCCTTCAGCCATGCTCATCATTTTTTAGAAACCTGTGTTTTTTTTCTTTTGAGAGTGAGTATCACTCTGTCGCCCAGGCTGGAGTGCAGTGGTGCGATCTCGGCTCACTGCAACCTCTGCCTCCCGGGTTAAAGCAATTCTTCTGCCTCAGCCTCCCGAGTAGCTGGGACTACAAGTGCGCGCTACCACGCTCGGCTAATTTTTGTATTTTTAGTAGAGATGGATTTTCACCATGTTGGCCAGGATGGTCTTGATCTCTTGACCTTGTGATCTGCCTGCCTTGGCCTCCCAAAGTGCTGGGATTACAGGCATGGGCCACCGCACCCGGCCAGAAATGTGTGTTCTCTACCTCCCTTGCACCTCTTTGTGGCTGCACAAGTGGGGAGGAAACTTGCCCCGCCTTGTGCAGGTGAGAGGCCAGGGCATCTTAACCCTCTCACCCGCAAGAGCCAAAGCCAGGGCTCACTTCCTATCACCAGATGACACATGTGGGCTGGGGAGGGCTCTGGTCTGCGTGCAGGGCTGCTTCCAGCCTAGCTGTGCCACTCGCACCCTGCTGGTCCTTCCCCGACTTACGTCCTGAGGGGACTCCCCTACCCCTTCCAGCTGTGACTGCAGGACCCAAGGGAAGCAGGACTGTGCCAAGCAAATGGAATAGTGGTGTAGGCCTCTAGGTGTTGGGTGTAGGGCAAGAGGCGGGCACGAGGGCTCCTTGTAGAGGATATTATAAGGGTCCAAGGTGGGAGACACTTGGCTGAGGTCCATTCCAATCACTTGGCTGAGGTCCATTCCAATCACTTGATGCCTTGATGCTGGAGAGCTTTGAGCAGTTTCCTTGGCGGTGTTGGGGCAGCAAGGGAACAGTCTGGGGCAGAGCCTGTGCCTCAGTCTTCTCATCTCTTAACTGGGGAGGGTCATGTAATACCCAACCCCAGGTGCTTGTGACGATTAACTGGGGTGGGCAGTGCTTAACATAATGCCTGGGAACGAGGACTGGTGGGCCTAGCTGTGCCCCACCCTCCAGCCACATCCAAGCCCCAGCACAGCAAGGTGCTCCCAGATGCCACTCCAGCCCCTGGTCAGAGCGCAGCTGTCCAGGAAGCAAGCTCAGTCTAGAGTGCCACTCCTTCGACGACCAGACCCCAACACAAGCCTGATGTAGAAGCCACTTGCTTCAGGTAGCTCTAAATGTACTGTCTCATACCATGGCTTAAAAAAAAAAAATCCAGGATGAGTTAAAAGTGTTCGTGGTTTCATCACCTAGCCAAGGTTAATGTCTGGGTCTTCCGTTTCTAGCCAGAGAACTGGAAACAAATCACTGTTTTGCTAGGAGCTTTGCATGACCTCACGCCCTAGGCTGCCGGGTCCTGGGCTGTCCTGATGGGCTGTGAAATCCCACCCACTCCCAGGGCTGCCGGGTCCTGGGCTGTCCTGATGGGCTGTGAAATCCCACCCACTCCCCTCCCCGCGAGGCAAGGACAGCCTCTGCCCTGCCTGCCTGGGAGCACGGTATGGGCTTGCCTAGGCCTCAGTGTCTTAACACTGTGGTGACTCAAATTCCTTGTTTTACCTTCACCAAGTAACCCAGAGCCAGGATCCTTGATGACTCTGGTAAGGCAGTGACTACCCCTGCTCAGAATGCAAGGGTCGCTAGGGAAGATTTTAGAAAAAAAAAAAGGACTCCAAAAATGGAGAATCTAAATGTAGTCCTTTGAAAATGTCACCCATAGATCCTCTACCACTAACTGTAATAAATTTGACCAAATAGCATTTCCTTTTTGTAAATCCACTTGTACGCACTTCTCTTCAGGAATACTTAGCTGTGGGATTGTCCTCAAAGGGGGACCATTTATTCCCGTAGAGCTGACCTGTTCAGCTCGTTTCCGTATCTGCTAATATTTAAAAAAGCAAACAAAAAAACAGGCCAGGTACAGTGGCTTATGCTTGTAATCCCAGCGTTTTGGAGGTTGAAGCGGGAGGACTGCCTGAGGCCAGGGGTTCGAGACCAGCAGGGGCAACATAGACCTCATCTCTACAAAAAATAATTAGCCAGGTGTGGTATATACCTATGGGCCCAGCTATTCAGGAGGCTGAGGTGGGAGGATGGCTTGAGTCTAGCAGGGCGAGGCTGCAGTGAGCCATGATTACCCCTGGGATTACAAGCTGGTCTCAAACTCCTGGCTTCAAGCAGTCCTCCCAGCTCGGCCACCCTAAGTACTGGGATTATAGGCGTGAGCCACTGTGTGTAGCCAACATTTGCTTTTTTTTTTTTTTTGAAACGGAGTCTTGCTCTGTCACTCAGACTGGAGTACAGTGGCCCAATCTCTGTTCACTATAATCTCCACCTCCCTGGTTCAAGCAATTCTCCTGCCTCTCAGCCTCTTGGGTAGCCGGGTTTGCAGGCATGCACCACCACACTCGGCTGATTTTTGCATTTTTAGTAGAGACGGTTTCGCCATGTTGCCTGGGCTGGTCTCGAACTCCTGACCTCAAATGATCTGCCTGCCTCAGCCTCCCGAAGTGTTGGGATTACAGGTGTCAGCCACTTGTGCCCGGCCAACATTTGCGTTTTTAATGACACTTTTCTTTTGTAATCAGGATATATATATAATCTTAATTCCTTGAGAAAGCTAAGGTTGTAGTGGAGAAAACCCAGGTGTGTTCCAAAGACAAACACCGGTGACTCTGGTGACCTGCACTGGGTCATCTCTGCATTGCTTGCCGAATTCCTGAGACGATAAGACCAATCAGTTCAGTGGGCTGCGGCCTCTGGCAGGCAGGGAGGCCACTGGGGCTCGCTTGCGTGGGTTTCAGAAGGAACCTTTCAGGTTCAGACTGCAGGCCAGACCCTGACTCTATATTAGTGTTTTCCAGAGGGACAGAACCAATAGGCTGTATGTAATATATAGAAAGCGAGTTAATTAGGGAGAAGTGGCTCACAGGATTACAAGGTGAAGTCCCAGAATAGGCCATCTACAAGCTGTGGAAAGAAGCCGGTAGCATAGCTGAGTCCAAGTCCAAAAGCCTCAAAACCAGAAAGCCCACAGTGCAGCCTTCAGTCTGTGGCAGAAGGCTCCAGGAAGCTGCTGGTGCAAGTCCCAGAGTCCAAATGCCGAAGAACCTGGAGTCTGATGTCCAACAGCAGAGAAGAGGAAGCAAGCATCTGGCACGGAAGAGGGAGAGGGCTGGAGAAGACTCAGCAAGGTGCTCATCCCCCTTCTTCCACCTGTTGTTCTGGCCGTGCTGGCAGCTGATTGGATGGTACCCACCCACATTGAGGGTAGGTCTTCCTTTCTCAGTCCACCGAGTCATGTCACTCTCCTCTGGCAACACCCTTACAGACACCCAGAAAAAATACCAGCCATCTCGGCATCCCTTAATCTAGTGAAGTTGACACCTAACATTAACCACTGCACCAACACCACCTGTGTGTGAGCTGGTGGTCTAAGGTGGGGATGGGGTGCACAGATCTGTCCCTGGTAGGGACGGTCAACAGGTGAGTGGCAACACCCTGGTGAGCATATTGAGCTGGGGCCACCTGTGTTCCAGTCCAAGAAACCTGGAGATCCAGCTGAATGTGAACATCCCAGGTCTTCGGCCGGATTCTATAAGAGGCAGGTGGTGAATTCATCCCAAAGGGCAGTGGGGTCTCTGCCCAGTGTCTCAAAAGCCAGTGCCTCCAGGTGCGGGCCCCAGCGCTGTTGGGCACATTGAGCCTGGCTCTGGGGAGTGGGGGAGCCGGATGTTGGTGACAAGGCTTATTTTTAATTCTGGATGCTCTAAGTATCCGGGGTGGGATCAGGCAGAGACTCCTCAACTGCTACAAGTTGTGTGGGGTGGTCTCGTTTCCTCTGCTGTTAAGTGCAAGCAATCACCTGGGGAAGCATGTGCAGGACGTCAGCCAGGCTTCTTTGCCAAGATGGCAGGGAAGCCTCCAGTTACCCCATGGGCTCTCAGCATTGGTGTGGAGAGCAGGGAGGGGCTTTTTACAAAACTCTGATGGGGCTTGGGGGGACATGGCATCAGAGATTAGGTTTCAAGGCCAGGTTAGCTGCTTGGTAGAGGAAAACACTTAACCCAACAGAGCTATGGTTCCTGCACAAAAAGGACAGGAGATGCTGTCTTGCTGGCAGCAGGAGGTTGAAACCACTGTAGGTGACAGCCTGGCCAGTGCCTAGTCTCAGCTAGATCCATCAAGGGGGGGGCGGGGGGGGTCCATTTTCTTTTCCTTGGTTTTGCATTGCACAAGCTGCAGATGTGGCTCAACACAGGGACTAAAAACCCTTCCAGTCAACGTTGACGGGGTAGGATGAGCTGCATGCTGCTAACCTGAGTGGGCCATCGAGAGAGACTTAGAAATTCCAACAGGTTTGATTTGTGAAGCTTTAATTTGCAGTCGTGCCTGACCGTAAGCCTTCACTAGAGAGCCTCAATATGAACAAGGACACCCCATTACGGATGAGGCAACTGGGGCTCCAAGGATGAGGCTGCACACCCAGGGTGGCAGAAGAGGCCAGGAAGTGGGAGCTGAGCCTGGGTCTGTCTGATCTCAGATGCCTGGCCCAGTCCATGGTGCAGCCCAATCCTGCAGTTTGCTTTTGAGACACACAGTTGCCTGCAGAGATGTGAAAACCACAAAGGCATCTGATATCCAGAAACTATTAAGAACTCCTACAACTCAACAACAAAGACAGACAACACAATTTAAAAATGGGGGAAGAGACCAGGTGTGATGGCTCCTGCCTGTTAATCCTAGCACTTTGGGAGGCCGAGGCTGGTAGATCACCTGAGGTCACGAGTTTGAGACCAGCCTGGCCAACATGGTGAAACCCCGTCTTTACTAAAAATACTAAACAAATTAGCTGGGTGTGGAGGCAGATGCCTGTAATTCCAGCTACTTGGGAGGCTGAGGCAGGAGAACTGCTTGAACCCAGGAGGCAGAGGTTGCAGTGAGCCAAGATCGCACCACTGCACTCCAGCCTGGGCACAAGAGCGAAACTCCATCTCAAAAAAAAATAAAAAATAAAAAATAAAAAATGGGTGAAGAACTTAAATCGACATTCTCCAAAGAATGTATACCAATGGCCAGTAAGCCTGTGGAAAGATGGTCAATGTCATTAATGACTAGGAAAATGCAAAACAAAACCACAATGACACGCCACTTCATACCCACTAGGATGACAAAACACTAGGATGGCTATAATACAAGAAAAGGAAAGGAACAAGTGTTCACAAGGATATGGAGAAGCAGTAACCCTGGTGTGCTGCTGGTGGGTGTAAAGTGGTGCATCCACTGTGGAAAATTTGTAGGTTCCTCAAAAAGTCAAAACATGGAGTTATGGTATAAAACTACAATTCCATTCCTCGGCATATGCCCAAAATAACTGAAAACAAGTCATCAGACACTCATACACCAATGTTCACAACAGTGCTATTCACAATAGCCAAAAAGTGGAAACAACCCAATGTCCATCAACTGACAAATGGATAATCGTGTGGTATATTCATACAGTGGGCTATCAGCTTATCATAAACATCGAGGACTGACATGCTACAATGTGGATGAGCCTGACAAACATCAGCCAAGTCAAAGAAACCAGACACAGGATGTCATGTATGGTAGGATTTCATTTTTTTTTTTTTCTTGAGACAGAGTTTCACTCTTTTTGCCCAGGCTGGAGTGCAATGGCCCGATCTCAGCTCACTGCAACCTCTGCTTCCTGAGTAGCTGGGATTACAGGTGCCTGACACCACGCCCGGCTAATTTTTGTATTTTTTTAGAGACGGGGTTTCATCATATTGGTCAGGCTGGTCTCGAACTCCTGACCTCAGGTGATCTGCCCACCTTGGCCTCCCAAAGTGCTAGGATTACAGGCGTGAGCCACTGTGCCCAGCCTGGTATGATTCCATTTAAACAAAATATCCAGAGTAGGTAAACCCACAGAGACAAAAAGTGGTTGGTGGTACCCCGGAGCTGGGATAGGCAAAATCACACACGCAGGGCCACAACCCACACCCACTCGGAGATGTTCCAGGAACAATCTCAGGAACCTGCATTTGTAAAAATCCTCCCCAATACCCCATCAGAACACAGAGCCACTGGTCTATGGGCCAGGAGCCCAAGACCTGAGAACAATCCTAGTTTCTTCAACAACTAGCAACATGACTGGGCAACTCACACCCACCTCTGCTCATCTTCTAAACTGTAAATCAGAGTCCATATGGCTTGTATTATTCACAAGGTTTTTGTGAAGGCAAACGGGGGAACATGGCCACCACTGGAAAAAGTGGAAGATGGAAAGTTAGTGATCTGAATCTGAACCTTTCATTAGACATCTCTGCTCTGAGGGACCATCTGTGGGGTGAGAAGAAATTGGGCTCAGTGCTTACCATGTGGAAAGGGAGGAAGGGCTCTCCACATGGGACACAAGGGACAGCCATGAAGGACAGAGGCTGACGAGACCTCCCAGGGTGAGCTCCTTCCAGCACTGGCTGGTACCTGTTGCTTCTGCAAATGTTCCCCAGACCCTCTGCACTCTCGCAGGTCAGAGTAAAAAAAGGTTGGATTCTTTCATTTTAAAAAAAGTTTGAGACAGGGTCTTACTCTGTCACCCAGGCTGGAGTGCAGTGGTGTGATCATGGCTTGCTGCAGCCTCAAACTCTTGGGTTCAAAGGATCCTCCCACTTCAGCCTCCTGAGCAGCTGAACTAAAGACGTGTACAACTGTGCTTGTTATATTTTTAAAAATAGAGACAAGGTCTAACTATGTTGCCCAGGCTGGTCTTGAACTCCTGATCTCAAGCAATCCTCCAGCCTTGGCCTCCCTAAGTGCTGGATTACAGGTGTGAGCCTCCACGCCCTGCCGGGGTTGGATTCTTTTTATTTTTTTAAATTTTTAAATTTTTTTTGAGACTGAGTCTCGCTCTGTCGTCCAGTGGCGCAATCTCAGCTAACTGCAACCTCCGCCTCCCGGGTTCAAGCAATTCTCCTGCCTCAGCCTCCTGAGTAGCCGGGTCTACAGGCGCACACCGCCACACCTGGCTAATTTTTTGTATTTTAGTAGAGACAGGGTTTCACCATGTTGCCCTGGCTGGTCTCGAACTCCTGAGCTCAGGCAATCCGCCCCCCACAGCCTCCCAAAGTGCTGGGATTACAGGCATGAGCCACTGCACCCGGCCTGGGTTCTTTATTAAAGCAATGAATTCTGGATGTCCTGGCTTAACTAGATTAAGAGGGAATGAAGCTTCTTCTGAAGGATCAGTGTTACCACAGCCATTTCCTTGCATTACACCGTCCTTCTCAGGACGTCTATGAGAAGCCCTGGGCAGCCTGGACAGGGACTGCCCCATGAGTGCTGGTGGCTCACTTGGGGCTTTCTGCAGGTGAAGGAAGCAGCCCTGGGAGCTTCTTCCTTTGGCACACAGTGGGCTTCAGCTGGGACTGCACCAATCCTCTGCTAACAGCAACCATCCTTGGGGGGTCCGAGGGAGCAGCTGCGTGACTTTTCAGCAGTGGCTATGGTCACTCCTGAGGCCTGGGAAGAGGGTCACTGTCCAGCAGAGCTGGCCTGCTCCAGAGTGATCTGGACCTTGTGCCCCTTAACACAAGAAGGCCCGACTCCAAAGGCCAACACTGTCCTCTAAGTTTCCAGGACACTAAATGGCCACTTGGTCCTGGTTAACTCATTTCTAAACACAAAGGGGACAGGTCTGAGAAAGTGGCGTTCTCTACCCTACCCTGAGCTCATCTGTTCTGAGGACAAAAGGGACGGGTGTGTCCAGGCTGGTGGCAAAGGCTGCATTTCCGGGGTTTCTTTGCTGTGGACCCCATGTCTGAGGAACTGGCCCGGGGCCTTTTGCTTCTGGCTTCCGACTCCAGGGTTCTTCCTCTGTCTCCTGTCCAGGACGGGGCTCCAGAAGTCCCTGTCGGGAGAGTCAGGGGAGGGGTGAGGTTAGAACTGACATGCAGAAGTGGCAAGTCCTGAACACGGTGGCTCATGCCTGTAATCCCAGCACTTTAGGAAGCTGAGGGAGGAGGATTGCTTGAGCCCAGGAGTTCAAGATCAGCCTGGGCAACATGGTGAAACCTTGTCTTTAAAAAATGCAAAAATTAGCCAGGTGTGGTGTATGCCTGTGGTCACAGCTACTCGGGAGGATGCCTGAGCCTGGGAGGCTACAGTGAGCTGTGATCACACCACTGCACTCCAGCCTGGGCAACAGAGCAAGACCCTGTCTCAAAAAAAAAAAAAAAAAAAAAAAGAGCAGCAGACGATAAGGCTGAACCAACTTTTTTTTTTTTTTTTTTTTTTTTTGAGATGGAGTCTTCGCTCTGTCACCCAGGCTGGAGTGTGGAGTGCAGTGGCGTGATCTCCACTCACTGCAAGCTCCACCTCCCGGGTTCACGCCATTCTCCTGCCTCAGCCTCCCGAGTAGCTGGGACTACAGGCACCCGCCACCACGCCCGGCTACTTTATTTTTTGTATTTTTAGTAGAGACGGGTTTCATCATGTTAGCCAGGATGGTCTCGATCTCCTAACCTTGTGATCCGCCCGCCTTGGCCTCCCGAAGTGCTGGGATTACAGGCGTGAGCCACCGTGCCCGGCCTTTTTTTTTTGAGGTGGAGTCTGGCTCTGTCGCCTAGGCTGGAATGCAGTGGTGCAATCTTGGCTCACTGCAAGCTCCGCCTCCCGGGTTCACGCCATTGTCCTGTCTCAGCCTCCCGAGAGTAGCTGGGACTACAGGGACCGACCACCATGCCCGGCTAATTGTTTGTATTTTTAGTAGAGACGGGGTTTCACTGTGTTAGCCAGGATGGTCTCGATCTCCTGACCTCGTGATCCACCCGCCTCGGCCTCCCAAAGTGCTGGGATTACAGGCATGAGCCACCGCGCCCGACCGGCTGAATCAGTTTTTATACAGCCATGTACACCCCACCAGCCAGCCTCCCTTCACACTGTGTCCAACTCTGTAAGGTTGAGGTGCGATGTGCCTGCTGCCTTATGTTACCTGACACCTCTCCCTCAAGAATCCTAAGCTTTGGAGACATTGTCCCACACTCACTTGGTAAGTGGACTTTCATGCCGGCCCTTTTTACAGAGGCAGAAACCCAAGCAAGCTGGCCTGTGTGGTAGGGTGGGAAAGACAAGCAGCCTATGACCGGCAACCTGCGGCCCACCTCCATGCAGGAAAGTCCAGCTCTGGATCCCTTCCTGTCCCCTCAACAGGCCTTTCCAGACCAGCTGCTCATTTACCCAGGACAGTCAGTCAGCCAGCCTGGAGGTCAGATACCATGTCCTTCCAAGTGGGGAGACAAGAGGCCAGACTGCATCTCACTTCAAATGTGGGTCTCTCACTGCAATGGCCATCTCTGGGCCCCATTAGCACTGGTAGCCAGTTCCAAGTCCCACAGTTTTTACCAAACCTCTGGTTTCTTTCTGTGCATGCCGGGCTAGTGACACATGTGTAAGAATCATAGTCTGAGACTAAACTCCTTTCTAAAACAGGAACCCTATGAATGTAGGCAGGGACCATCTTGTTGAGCAAACTTGAGGCAGAGAGGCTAAGTCATTTGTTCAAGGTTATACTGCTGAGCTTTGGAACCAGATTTGCTCAACTCCAAAGCTCCCACTAGGCCTTTGGGTCATTCTCAGCTACTTAAGCTCTGTTGTGCACTGGAGCAGGAGGAACCATTCAAAGTGCCTCCACGTACACCATTCAACTTGATGCAATGTCCAGGTGCCACTTCTCATGACACCCAGTTCCCGGACATTGGCCCAAGCTGTGTCACCCTGGGCAGGTTCCTAAATATCATCGGGGTTGGCATCTTCATCTGAAGAAATGAGGCTGGGCCAGGCACGGTGGCTCACGCCTGTAATCCCAGCACTTTGAGAGGCCAAGGCAGGTGGATCACCTGAGGTGGAGTTCGAGACCAGCCTAACCAACAGGGTGAAACCCCCGTCTCTACTAAAAATACAAAATTAGCTGTGCGTGGTGGTGCATGCCTGTAATCCCAGCTACCTGGGAGGCTGAGGCAGGAGAATCATTTGAACCTGGGAGGTGGAAGTTGCAGTGAACCAAGATTGCACCATTGCACTCCAGTCTGGGCAACAAGAGCAAAACTCAGTCTCCAAAAAAAAAAAAAAAAAAAAAGAAATGAGGCTGATGCTTATGGTCTGCCAAGGGTCACGACAGCTGCAAGGGCACATGGCCATGGGACTGGGAAGGCCTATGTACTCATCCTGGTGTCTGTTGCTATGGGACCCTGAGCAATACCCACTTCATGTGTCTGGGTCTCACCTTTCTCACTTATAAGTAAAATTGTGATCATAATGCTTACCCAATGAGGATGGAAGATGCACAGGAAGTATACTTAGCATAGTGCCAGGCATAGGGCAAGTGACACCATTACTGGTAGCTACCCTTTAATTTGGAATGAGGACTGTACAATTATCACCTTGCTGAAAGTGATCAAGTGAGGAAAAGTGAGGTGCAAGGCAGCCCAGGTGCCCCTCCCAATCCCACCATGACCCTGCCTTGCCTTCTTTCTGCTGTCCCCAGTCTCTGAGGTAAACACCTGAAAACTGAAGGCAGGGATTCCCATGCCCCTCCCTGCCTCACCTGGAGCGGTGTTCTCATCGACCCACTGGAAAAAGCCACACTGCTGCTCTCTCGGCTTGGCACATGTGTGGAACTGGCGCCCCTTGTTGGGTCCATCCTTCTGCACAGTCCGTGTGACGGAGGGCTGGCTGCAAAGGCAGGATGTGCCACTACCACTGCCATCACCAGGGTTGCCAAACCCACCTAGGTGGATCCCTGGGCCTGGTGGGCATCCCAGGGAGGCGCCCAGGGGTCTATATGCCAAGGCAGGAGGCCCTCCTGCTCCCGGATTGGGGCTGTCTGCCCACAGGAAGAAGTTGCAGCTACCTCCGTTGCACTTAAAGAACTGCCGGCCCCGGTTGGGGCCCTCCTTACGGACAGTGAGCAGCACAGCCTCCTGGCCACAGTTGCAGGTCACAGAATTGCTTTCACCAGCAGCCGTGGGTGGTGGGAGGGTCTGGGCCAGAGCCTTTGAGGACCCAGTCTGTCTGCTGTCAGCAGGCTGGGGGTGCTGGCTGTTGTCCATCCTGTTCAGGGACTGGTTAGCCTGCAGGCGGCCAGAGGGCTGGCTAGCCCTGGGGGGGCCCCCTGAAAATCTCAGGTCCAGGATCTCCCTCAGGGTGTCGTCGCATCCGCCGATGCAGCAAACAAACTCCAGAGGCATGGTCGGGGGAAGGCTACCGCGCTTAAACTTTAACTTTAACCTAGTGAGGCCAGAAGATGAGAAAAAACATTAACAACCAGATGCCAGCTTCTCCTTAGTCCAGTGAGGGCTGCTTTAGCCCTAGGCCTCTCTCCACCATTCCTTATGCATCAGGAAGCCCACACAAGTCCCCTGTGAGGCCCTCTATCAGCCCACCACAAGCCCCCACCAGTCATCACAGGAGTGGACAGTGGGAAACAGTGCAGATGAAATCTAAGATCCCAGTAATTCACTAAAATAAAAACACCTCTGAGAAGTCCCATGTCTCTGTATCAGCAGTTCTCCAAGTGTGGTTCCAGGGTGCCTGAGCCCTTTCAAGGAGAGTGCAAAACTCTTTTATAGGCCAGGTGTGGTGGCTCAAACCTGTAATCCCAGCACTTTGGGAGGCTGAGGCGGGCGGATCACAAAATCAAGAGATTGAGACCATCCTGACCAACATGGTGAAACCCCATCTCTACCAAAAATACAAAAATTAGCTGGGCATGGTGGCACGCGCCTGTAGTCCCAGCTACTCGGGAGGCTGAGGCAGGAGAACCTCTTGAACCTGGGAGTCAGAGGTTGCAGTGAGCCAAGATTGTGCCACTGCACTCCAGCCTGGTGACAGAGCAAGACTCTGTCTCAAAAAAAATTCTAAGAGGTTATGTCTATTTTGCTCTTATTCTTCCATGTGTATACAACGGAGTTTCCTGGAGGTTCCAGCACATGCAATGACTCAGCAGGCTGACTGCAGAAGCAGATACGGGAATCCAGCTCTCTTCTATTAAGCCAGACATACAAATTGCAAAATGTAAAACAATGTCATTAATGTCATTATTATTTTGCTTTTGAAAATAGGTATTTTATTACCCTAAAAAACAAGTTATTTACAGTAGTATGCAATGCATTTACTAGAAATAAATTATTAAAATTTTTTTTTTTGAGACAGAGTATCATTCTGTCGCCCAGGCTGGTGTGCAGTGGTGCAATCTCGGCTCACTGAAAGTTCTGCCTCCTGGGTTCACGCCATTCTCCTGCCTCAGCCTGCCGAGTAGCTGGGACTACAGGCGCCCACCAGTACGCCTGGCTGATTTTTTGTATTTTTAGTAGAGACGGGGTTTCACCATGTTAGCCAGGATGGTCTCGATCTCCTGACCTCGTGATCCACCCACCTCGGCCTCCCAAAGTGTTGGGATTACAGGCGTGAGCCACCACGCCTGGCCATTTTTTGTATTTTTAGTAGAGACAGTGTCTCACCATGTTAGCCAGGATGGTCTCGATCTCCTGTCCTCGTGATCCGCCTGTCTCGGCCTCCCAAAATGCTGGGATTACAGGCCTGAGCCACCAGGCTCGGCCTATTCATTTATTTCTAGAGACAGGGTCTGGCTCTGTCATTCCAGGCTGGAGAGCAGTGGTGAAATCATGGCTCACTACAGCCTAGACCTCTAGGATCAAGCGATCCTCCTGCCTCAGCCTCCTGACCAGCTTGGCCTATAGGCATATGTCACCACATCTGGCTAATTTAAAATTTTTTTTGGCCAGGTGCAGTGGCTCACATCTATAATCCCAGCACTTTGGGAGGCCAAGGTGGGTGGATCACTTGGGGCCAGGAGTTCGAGACCAGCCTGGCCAACATGGTGAAACCCTGTCTCTACTAAAAATACAAAAAGTGGTCAGGCATAGTGGTGCATGCCTGTAATCCCAGCTACTCAGGACGCTGAGGCAGAAGAATCACTTCAACCCAGAAGGCGGAGGTTGCAGTGAGTCAAGACTGCGCCACTGCACTTCAGCCTGGGCAACCCAGCGAGACTGTCTTAAAAAAAATTTTTTTTTAAATAAAAATTTTTTTTTTTAAAGAGATGGGGTCTTGCTACGTAGCCCAAGCTTGGATGTTGTATTTAATATGTGAATAATTTCCTAAGCCTGGTGTAGCAATCATCTATCTGGAGAGGGCAGGGAAAGAGCCCTTCATGGTTCTTTGCCCATGGCCCACTCCAAACAGGGTCATACCTGCCAAAGCAGTGACAGCATGGAACACAACAGAACTGGACCAGCCCTGCTGAACTGGCTGCTGCAGAACACAGCTACGCCCCTGCAGGGCCTGAGTGGAATCCCCGACACTCCTCTCTGGGTTCTGGCAGGAGCAAGGGAAAGATGGTGTACACACTCCAGAGGAGGCACCTGACTCAGGTGCCCAGCTCACCTGTACACAGGGTGTGGCTGACAAACTGGACACACACTGCTGTCCCTGCTGGCCTCCAGCACCGAGTCAGGAAGCCACACAGCTGAGCGACACTCTGGGAAACCCATGCAGCTGAGGTAGAACCTGGGGACAAAGTGCCATGTCAGATGATAGGAGTGCAGGAGATGCTCTCCGCTGTTGGCCATCAGCTAAGGCAGCCTTTCCTCAGCTGCCCGAGGACAACATTCCCTTTTCTGGATGACACTTAACTGGATACACAAGCACTCATATTGAATTGATTGGGAAAAATGAGCCTTCTCACATCCCAAAAGCACAAAGCAGCTATTGCTGGCCCTGCTTTCTATTTAGAAAACCAACAACCAACCAAGCTGACGCCAGGGGCTCTGTGCTGTGCACTCACACATTCTTGCCTTTCTGCCTCGTGCCAAGTCTGGGCAGTGTCAGGGGCCCCCTCAGTTTGCATGTGAGTAAACAGTGGCTTGGTGTGGCCTGGAAACCTGCCCAGAGACATGCATGCATGTGTGGATGGGAGCCAGGAATGGAAACCCATCTGTTTGTGACAAAGCCTCACCTGCAACATCTACACCCCACCCACTGCCCATCCATCCCATCCCGGTCTCTCCTGGCCAATGTTTTTCAACACCTTGCAGTCATGAAACGTTAGGGTTTGACTAGCTAATATGCATGTGATTTACAAATTCCTCATGAGTGTGCCTGGGTACACTATGAAGGAAAAAAAAGCCCCGAACTCCAATCATTTAAATAAGAAATTTACAATCTCAGAAATGGAAATTAACAGATAAATCATGGAGTGGCAAATCCCACAAGATAATCTCCTGACCTTCTGGAGTAACTCAGAGAAGCATTACAAAAGAATAACAGAAGAACAAACGAATAACTAAAGAATAATAATAATTCTCCAATTCAGAGAATTGGAGAATTCAGAGCTAAAACAAAAGTAGTTATTCTCTCTCCTTATATTCCAATGAGTACTAATCCAATAACCTACCGATAGCAAGGAAAACCCATCGACAGCATTTATTAAGTGCTGAAATATACGCCCAGTCATTGGGCTAAGCCTAGAGTGGCACTGGCTTCTGTCTGTGAGTGACGCGAGCCCTGACACCTGCTTCCAGGTCTGGCCCATAGACCTCTTGTTTCTGAGAGCCTGGGTGGCCTTCTCTTCACTTGGGCCAGCCAGGTTAATGATGGCTGGAGGTGAGGAGTTGAGAAACCTCCTTTCTTATTCAGCAGCAAGGAGCACAGCAGTCCCAGGTGGGCCAGGCAGGATGGAAAAAGGCAGTGAAAACCCGGTTTCAAACTCTGCTGCCCACCACGGCTGCTTGACTCCAAGCAAGCACCTCAGCCCTCTAAGCTGCATAAAAATCCCTGCCTTGCAGGGTAGTTAGGAGAATGGGATGAGGTAATGCTTACAGAGCACCACCCTGCATTACACCAGTGAGGGACGGCACCTGATGAATGATGGCTGCCACCCCTCCACCTCGTCTTTCCCCGTGAACTTCCTCCAGTGGCCAGCCACTGGCTCCAACAACCTGATGTGAAGCTAAATTGCCCACTCAGATCTACTATATTTAAAGCGAAAAGGGAGTTGAGATTTTCAGGCCCCATTCAGAACTAAAACTAGGAGAGAACAAAAGTAGTATCTGCTGAGTATCTACAACACATCAGGCAATGTGCTATATAGTCCTGACCATTTTCACCAAATCCTCACCCTTAACACAGCCTTGTAAGTACTGACATTTTATAAAAGAAGAAATTGGGGTTCAGAGCAGGTAAGTAACTTGCTTCAGGCCACACCACTTATATGCGGCATAAGTGGCATTTGAACCCAGACCCACCTAGATCTGAAGCTCATGCTCCTCCATGTGTTACACATTGGGTATATGATGTCCTATCCACAGGGGACAAAAAAACCCCACTATCATTCAGTTTCTCACCTGCTCTGAATTCCCATAGTGCTTTACACCTCAAAGGCCTGATCCCACCCTGCTATGCTTTTAGGCCAACACCTTGCCTGCAGGTTGGCAACAACAGGCCTGTCTTGAAAGATTCCATGGAGTGAAATGGCAGGGTCTTTCGAGCTACGGCTGACACCGCAGGTGCTGGGGAGCAGAGGTGGGGGCAGAAGGCAGCGCACTCACCCGCCATTCTTCTTGGTCTTAAGGACCATGTCCTTGTTGCACTGTGGGCACTTCCTGATGGGCTCTGGCATGGCTGGGTAGATATCTTCTTGCTGGGCCAACTCTGTCCCATTCCCAAAGTACTGGGCCAAGGCCTCGTCCAATCTGAAGAAAAGGCAAAGACAGACACCCATCAGCCAGCAATCGCTGCAAAGGCACCTACAACACTCTTACATGCACACAACAGGCGTGACCTTGAGAACCAGCTGGTCAGTGAGCCGCAGGCCTCCTGCAGAGAACAGACGGCAGACAGAAGACTGAGCTCACCATGGGCCCTGGTGCCGAACCAACTCTTGGGAGGAGAGTCCAGATACAGGCAGATGCTTCTGCTTGTCACCAGCCCACATTAAAAAGTAAAACTGGGCCAAATGTGGTGGCTCACGCCTGTAATCCCAGGCCGAGGCGGGCGGATCACCTGAGGTTGTAATTTCGAGACCAGCCTGACCAACATGGTGAAACCCCGTCTCTACTAAAAATACAAAATTAGCCAGGCATGGTGGCGCATGCCTGTAATCCAAGCTACTCAGGAGGCTGAGGCAGGAGAATCGCTTGAACCCAGGAGGCAGAGGTTGTGGTGAGCCAAGATCACGCCATTGCACCCTAGCCTGGGCAACAAGAGCGAAACTCCATCTCAAAAAAAAAAAGTAAAACTGCACAGGGTCCATGTACAAACTCCAGGAGTGTCTGTCTGTATTAAGTCTAAACTAGCTCATGCCTGCCTTTTCACAACTGGCATGGGGTACTCTAAAGAACAGAAAATAACAAACTGTTATCTTCTATTACAGTCTCACAACACACATCAGACACCAGATGTATGGGAGTTTTCCCCATACACCAAGCAACTCTCCCGCCACACACCAGTTGGACATCCTCTAATTCAATTCAATTCTGACACTATGCACCTGGAGATCCATCTAACGGTTAAGGGCTCAGTCCCAGAAGACTGCTGCCCCAAATTCCCTCAGATGTCAGTCACAAATCCCAGGCTGTGACCTGTGCTTCTGACTGACTGGCTATAAACTGGGGTTCCTCAGACCCCCTCCTTGGTTTGATTCTCAATAGAGTGGCTCACAGAGCTCAGGGAAACACTTTACTTATGCTTACCCGTTAATTACAAAGGATCCAGGTGAATACCCAGATGGAAGCAATGCACAGGGCAAGGGATGTGGGGAAGGGGTAGCTTCCATGCCCTCTCCCAAACACCCACCCTCCAGGAGTCTTTACCTGTTTAGCTATTTGGATGTGCCCCAAACCCAATTGTTTGATTTGTTTTTGTTGTTGTTGAAGAAGTCTCACTCTGTTGCCCAAGCTGGACTGCAGTGGGGCAATCTCGGCTCATTGCAACCTCCACCTTCCGGGTTCAAGCAGTTCTCCTGCCTCAGCCTCCCAGGTAGCTGGGACTACAGGTACGCACCACCATGCCTGGCTAATTTTTGTATTTTTTTTTTTTTTTTTTAGCAGAGAAAGGGGTTTCACTGTGTTGGCCAGGCTGGTCTTGAACTCCTGACCTTGTGATCTACCCGCCTCGGCCTCCCAAAGTGCTGGGATTACAGGCGTGAGCCACCGTGCCTGACCCTTGTTTGGGGATTTTATGGAGGATTTATTACTTAGGCATGATTGACAAATCACTGGCCACGTGTGATCAACTCAACCTCCAGCCCCTCTGCTCTTCCTGAGGTAGGGGTGGGACTCAAAGTCCCAACCTTCTAATCACAGGGTTGGTTCCCTGACAACCAGACCGATCCCAAGGCTACCCAGGAGCCCTTGGCCACTAGTCATCTCATTTGTATACAACAGACACAGCACTTAAAAAATTCCAAGGGTATCAGAAAATGAAGTCCAAATATATATATCTTATTATAAATCATAATATCACAGGTAGAAAACACATCATTTCTAACAAAATACACACATGCTGCTTGCTAAATATCCACCTCTAAATGCTCCAGAAAACAAATGGATCACACTCCAGCACTTGGGTTTACTGATTTAAAAGACTTTGTTGCCTAACTCAAGATAATTAATGTGTCATGTAATTAAAGCAGAAAAAAAAAAGATAATTAAAATCAAGAGAATGGTATTTCTAAAGCCAATAGTTCAGAATAACTGAAGGAGACTGTTCCGATTACTGTTTCTATACTGACAAAGCTCTATGGAGAGTTGTAAAAGAACCCAGAGAAGAAAGTCCAAAGAAAAGGGGTATGTGGAAAACCTCCAGGCCAGGAGGCCACTGGTGAGGATGAATCTGGCAGGGTTATAAACTCTGACTGGCCCAGATGCGGTGGCTCACGCCTGTAATCCCCACACTTTGGGAGGCTGAGGTGGGAAGATCTCTTGAGGCCAGGAGTTCAAGACCAGCCTGGGCAACATAGTGAGACCCCTCTGTATTTCTTTTAAGGACTTACTTCTTTGCTTTAGCCACCGCTTCAATGAAAACCTGCTTGTATTTCTGCACTTGCTGCCTTAGAACCACAAATTTGTCCTTTTTGCCATCACAGATCAGCTTCAGATCAGCTTCCAGTTCAGCCCGGAGGTCAGGCTTAGACATTTCATAGCCCATGGAATCATAACCTGCAGGGAGAGAGTCGAGCTCAGTGAGGGCCCACCTGAGACCCTCAGGGACTTGGGCGACACCACCCACTACCCACTGCAAGCTCTGTCCTCCCTTACCTTCCACAAGTCCCATGCCCAGGTGCCCAGGGAGGAACCGCTTGTCTGGGGTGAGGCCCACGTACATCCGGGCTTTGATGGTCTCGATGTGCTCCGCATGAGTGGCATCCGTACCTGGAAGCCACTTGCTGGTTACTCTGAGGTAATACAGACAACAGCTCCACCCGGGTGGCGCATGGGCACCTTGCTCACCCCGGAATCCCTCCTTTGCCTGGACAGCCTATGCAGGTAAGATGCCTTCATTTCATTCCCATATAGCTCATTCAAGAAATCACAATGGCAACCTCAACTCTCTTGTTCCCTCACATCCCATTACTCAGGAAAGCTGTCAATTCCAGCTTCAAAGCTCTTTTTAAAAATTCTCTTCCCCATGTGTCCAAGCCATACTTGCAGCTTGTGTCCCTATTTCTAGTCTCTTCCTCTACCCTAACCATTCTTTAAGCTGTGGCCAAAGGGACCTTTCAAAATGTAGCTCTGCCATGAAGGAAATGCAAATTAAAACTGCAGTGAAGGCTGGGAGCAGTGGCTTATGCCTGTAATCCCAGCATTTTGGGAGGCCAAGGTGGGCAGATCATCTGAGGTCAGGAGTTCGAGACCAGCCTGGCCAACATGCTGAAACCCTGTCTCTATCAAAAATACAAAAATTAGCAGGGTGTGGCGGCACGCACCTGTAGTCCCAGCTGCTCAGGAGGCTGAGGCAGGAGAATCACTTGAACCCAGGAGACAGAGGCTGCAACGAGCTGAGATGGCACCGTTGCACTCCAGCCTGGGTGATGGAGTGAGACTCTCTTTAAAAAAAAAAAGAAAAAAAAAAGGGCTGGGCGTGGTGGCTCACGCCTGTAATCCCAGCAATTTGGGAAGCCGAAGCGGGCAGATCACGAGGTCAGGAGATCAAGACCATCCTGGCTAACACGGTGAAACCCCGTCTCTACTAAAAATACAAAAAAAAAAAAAAAAAAATTAGCCGGGTGTGGTGGCGGGCACCTGTAGTCCCAGCTACTCAGGAGGCTGACACAGAAGAATGGCATGAACCTGGGAGGCGGAGCCTGCAGTGAGCGGAGATCGAGCCACTGCATTCCAGCCTGGGCAACAGAGCGAGACTCCACCTCAACAATAACAACAAAAAAACAACCAAAAAAACCAGTGAAATAGCAGTTCAGACCTACTGGCAAAATCAAAAAGAGAGATAATACTAAGTGTTAGTAAGGATGTGGATAAACTGGAATCCTAGTGCCTTGCTGGTGGAAATGAAAAACGGTACAGCCACTTCAGAAAAGTTTGGTGGTTCCTAAAAATGTTAAATGTAGAGTTACCAAGTAAACCAGCAATCCCACTCCTAAGTCTACCCAAGAGAAATGAAAACACATATCCACACAAAACCTTGTACAAAACTGTTCACAGCAGGATTATTTATAATAGCCAAAGAGTAGAAACAACTCAAGTGTCCATCAACTGCAACCTCTGCCTTCCGGGTTCAAGTGATTCTCTTGCCTCAGCCTCCCGAGTAGCTGGGATTACAGGCGCCTGCCACCAAGCCCAGCTAATTTTTTCATTTTTAGTAGAGAAAGTGTTTCACCATGTTGGTGAAGCTGGTCTCGAACTCCTGACCTCAAGTGATTGGCCCACCTTGGCCTCCCAAAGTGCTGGGATTACAGGTGTGAGCCACTGTGCCTGGCTCTTTATAGGAAATAACTAAAGTAGGCAAATCTGGCCAGGTGCAGTGGCTCACTCCTGTAATCCCAACACTTTGGGAGGTTGAGGTAGGAGGACAGTTTGAGGGTGCAAGTTCAAGACCAGACTAGGCAACATAGCAAGACCCTGTCCCTACATAAAACAAAAAAGTCTGGCTGGGCATGGTGGCTCAGGCCTATAATCCCAGCACTTTGGGAGACCGAGGCGGGTGGATCATTTGAGGTCAGGAATTCGAGACCAGCTTAGCTAACAGTGAAACCCCATCTCTACTAAAAATACAAAAATTAGCCAGTGATGCGCACCTGTAGTCCCAGCTACTCAGGAGGCTGAGGCAGGAGAATCTCTTGAACCTGGGAGGCGGAGGTTGCAGTGAGCTGAAATCGTGCCACTACACTCCAGCCTGGGTGACAGAGTAAGACTCTGTCTCAAACAAAACAAAACAAACAAACAAAAAACCCAACAAAAAAATTAGCTGGGTATGGCAACACATGCCTGTAGTCCCAGCTACTTGGGAAGCTGAGGTGGAAGGATCCCTTGAAACCCAGGGTTCATGGCTGTGACCTAGCCTGGGTGACAGAGTAAGATGCTATCTCTCCAAAACAAATTTTTTTAGGGGCCGGGCATGGTGGCTAACACCTGTAATCCTAACACTTTGGGAGGCCTAGGTGGGCGGATCATGAGGTCAGGAGTTTGAGACCAGCCAACCTGGCCAACATGGTGAAACCCTGTCTCTACTAAAAATAACAAAAATTAGCTGGGTGTGGTGGTGCGTGCCTGTAAGCCTAGCTACTCGGGAGGCTGAGACAGGAGAATCGCTTGAACCTGGGTGGCGGAAGTTGCAGTGAGCAGAGATTGTGCCACTCCACTCCAGCCTGCAGCAACAAGAGCAAAACTCCATCTCAAACAAACAACAAAAAAAACAAAAAAACTGACTGTGGTGATAGCTGCACAACTTTGTGAATATGCTAAAAAATGTACATTATACATTTGAAGGAGATAAACTGTATGGTATATAAATAAAGCTGTTAATAATTATATATATATATATATAAATTTTTTTTTTTTTTTTTTTTAGATGGAGTCTCTCTCTGTCACCAAGGCTGAAGTGCAGTGGCACAATCTTGGCTCACTGCAACCTCCACCTCCCGGGTTCAAGCAATTCTCCTGCCTCAGCCTCCTAAGTAGCTGGGATTACAGGCGTCAGCCATAACACCTAGCAATTTTTTGTATTTTTAGTAGAGATGGAGTTTCACCATGTTGTCCAGGCTGGTCTTGAACTCCTGACCCCCTACCTTGGTCTCCCAAAGTGCTGGGATTATAGGTGTGAGACACAATGCCCAGCCTGTTAATAATCTTTTAAAAATATTATTATTATTTTTTTGTAAGTGTACCTCTATGTGGTTCCTTTACTTAGAAATCCTGGAAGACTCCCTGCTGACCATGTACCACCATCTAAGCCCTTCAACTGGGCAAGCCAAGGCCCTGCAAAGTCAGGCTTGGATCATCTTTCCAGGCTCACCTTCTATGGCCACCCCCCTCCAATCCAGCTACAGCAGGCTTCTGCTTTCCTGCTCCTGTGCCCTTCCTCAGGCCTACCCTGCACTGGGCTGCCCTTCGCTGATCCAGAAGTCTTACTATGAGGTTTTGGTCCAGCTCAAATGCCAGTCCACCCATCACATTTTCTTCCCTGCCTACTCCCTGCAGAACTATTACATTGTATTCAATGTGTTGGTTTGGTTCTTCTGTTAGATTGAGAACTTAAAAAATGAGGTCTTATTCCTCCTTGTGTCCCTGGTGCTTAGTCCAAGCTCTCACTCTTGTGGGCCTCACACTTTGTACCTCAGTCTCTGCCTTCCGGGCTCAAGTGATCCTCCCACCTCAGCCTCCCTACCTATAGGCATGCACCTAATTTTTTGTAGAAATGTTTTTTTTGAGATGGAGTCTCACTCTGTCACCCAGGCTGGAGTGCAGTGCTGCGATCCTGGCTCACTGCATCCTCCACCTCCCGGGTTCATGCAATTCTCCTGCCTCAGCCTCCCAAGTAGCTGGGATTACAGGCATGTGCCACCACGCCTAGCTAATTTTTGTATTTTTTTAGTAGTGATGGGGTTTTGCCATGTTGGCCAGGCTGGTCTCGAACTCCTGACCTTAGGTGATCCACCCGCCTTGGCCTCCCAAAGTACTAAGATTACAGGCATGAGTCACCGTGCCCAGCCAGATCTGTTTTGTTGTTGTTGTTGTTGTTTGTTTGTTTGTTTTAAGACAGAGTTTTGCTGTTGTTGCCCAGGCTGGAGTACAATGGCACAATCTCAGCTACAGGTGCCCACCGCCATGCCTGGCTAATTTTTGTATTTTTAGTAGAGACAGAGTTTCACCATGTTGGTCAGGTTGGTGGTCTTAAACTCCCTACCTCAGGTGATCCACCCAGCTCAGCCTCCTGAAGTGTTGGGATTACAGGCGTGAGCCACTGCGCCCAGCAAGATGGGGTTTTACCGTGTTGCCCAAGCTGGTCTTGAATTCCTGGGCTCAAGTGATTCACCCATCTTGGCCTCCCAAAATGCTGGGATTACAGGTGTGAGCCACCACACCCAGCCTTCATACATTTTTATCAAATAAATCATGACGGGTGAACCTCTACTAATTTTACCTAAACCTGCAGGGTTTCTGGATGTCCTAGTGATGGTCAAGGACTTCACGTTGAAGCACTGCTTCCCAAGTCATAGGCCTAAGAAACTCCCTTTGTGGATGACGCAGCTGCTTATGTAACACATGCCCAGGGAGCTCTGCTTCCCCTCCACTGTGCTGCAGGTATTCCTGGACTAGGTTTGCCAGAGAAAGCCCTTGAGAGCCTTGACAAAAACGAATGGAGGGGACAGCAGATTAGTTACAAGGCCCTACCTGCAAAGCTTGAGCCATGGGACTTATCAGCAGGGTCCTGGCACATACATGAGGCCAGCGTGAGCAGCCTGAGTGAGCAGTGTGGGTTCAGACCTGCAGAGACAGCTGCCACCCTCACCCAATGCTCCACATGGGAAGGAGGCTCAGGGCTCTATCTGACACTTCAAAATGAAGATAGATTTTATGATAACTGTCCCAAGTTTTAATTGTTGGTTCCTTACATGCTGTTCTTATTCGAAAGAACAACAAATCCTCATGTGGCCAATGGGTGCTCCCAGTTGGGCCCTCAAAGCCATGGGAAAAGTCTCTGTTACTATGTGGACAGCACAGTGCATGGTTTAAGAGCACTGACTGTGGAGTTATTCAGACCAGGTTTTAATAATACACACTTTGTGAACTTAGGTAAGTTCTTAACCTCTCTGAGCCTTATTTCAACTATAAAATGGGATAAAGATATAGCAGCTGCATTAGAGAATGGTTTGAAGACTAGAGGAAACCTGTACCTGGTACACTGTAAGCCTTAGCTCAAGAGATGCGAGTTACCCAGAGGAGCCACTGACCAATGCCATGCTTCTCCATGAGGGCAATGAGGTCGGCCTCGGTGAGCAGCTTGGGTGGGCTGGTCTCCCCGTCCACCATCTCCACGGTGCTGGGCTGAAAGTGGGATCCTTGCTCATAGACAGGGAGGATCTACAGGGAGCGGCAGGTGCAACAGTCAGATGATTCCATCAGCACACTCAGGCAAAAAATAACCTCATTTCAAGGAACATGATCCTGCTCCACTAGAGAACTCAGGGCTCACAACACAACTGTCCTCCCTCTCACTGGGGACCACTCTTTATTACCTTGTCACTCCAGTGATCATATGGATACACATCCAGATAGTTTCGGGCCAGAATCATGAGGCCATGGGCCACAAAGCGTTCCTGAGCGATGTCGATCTCCACTGTGGTCTCCTGCCCCTGAGCATCCTGGGAGCAGCAAGCCAGGAAATGGCGAACAATAAACTCGTACAGTCGCTGTTCATCTCCCTAGGAAGAAAAGAGGAGTACGAAACTCCCCCTAGAATATCACCTCTCAAGGACAGGAGCATCACTGGTAGCCTTAGCCTAATGTCCTGCACAGAAGAGGCCACACTGCTCCTCAGGCCCTGCACTAACATGGAGTGCCAGGCAAACAAGTCCTGGGGAGAGGATGGGTTTAGGTTGACACATCTCACAACTCAAATCTGGCAAAGATAAGCAAAGGAGTCATCTTCCCTTCCAGACTGGGAAGTGGTTCTTTGATGTAAACGCAATCTAAGCAGAAAACAAGATGAAAGCGTAAGAAGTTAGCAAGACACTCCTCAAATACAAGAGACAGCAACATTGCACCTGGTGGCCTTAGCCCAACTTCATGCACACATTTAAGCAGTAATTTTCAGGGTAATTTTCAATTAGGTAATCAATGATTTAGTGAGCCTCAGTCTATCAAAAGCCCATGAGACATTTATACACATATCCAATAATTCCCCTTCTAAGGATTTCTTCAAAGGAAATAACTGGAGAACCACAAAAATATTTATGTCTACAAATGTTAACTATAGTATCAAAAACACACAAAAAACAGATTTGGCAAAATAAATTATGGCACATCTTTGTAATTGTTAAATATCATGCTTAATAGGCAATTTTACCCCCTTATAAACTTTTGTATTTCTTAATTTGTCTAAAATGAACATGTAATTTTTTTTTTTCCGAGACAGAGTCTCACTCTGTCGCCAGGCTGGAGTGCAGTGGTGCAATCTCGGCTTATTGCAACCTCCGCCTCCTGGGTTCAAGCGATTCTCCTGCCTCAGCCTCCTGAGAGTTGGGACTACAGGCACATGCCACCCCGTCCAACTAATTTTTCTATTTCTAGTAGAGATGGGGTTTCACCATGTTGGCCAAGATGGTCTCAATTTCCTGACCTCGTGATCTACCCGCCTTGTCCTCCCACAGTGTTGGGATTACAAGCATAAGCCACCGCGTCCGGCCATATTTTTAAAATCAGAAAGAATGTATTTTATTAAAAGAAGGAGGAGAAGAACAAAAGACTAAGATTTCCCCAGCTTTGTGAGAAGCCTACAGATGTAAACAAGCATTTCCCCAACTTTGTGAGAAGCCTACAGATGTAAACAAGCCTAATGGCTCCTGTGCCTGCAGAGCCTGCCCCTGGCTGAGGAAATGACTGAGACAGACAAGCAGAGCTGTGTGGGAAACTGCAGTGACAGGGGGTGGCACGACTGGGGTGGCAGCAAAGTTTCAGGAGGCAACCAAAACTGAGCCAGCCTTGGGAGGATGGATAGAATTCTCTAGTTCCAGGGACTGGGAAGGCCACAAGGCTCACAGTGGAGGTGGGGGTCTGCACAGGGGTTGCCTATGAAGGACTAGCAGGGAAGCAGCAGGAGCTGATGGAGAGTGGGATGTGGAGCTGGATTAAGACGGGGGCCCACCACGGGGAGGGATGAGGCGGTCTTTATCAAAGCCAGGCAGAGGATTGTGAAATGAGAGAGATCTCAAAATCACTTGTTTTTACAATCACAGCCCACAGAGTAAATTCAAACCTTACTACTGACCCCCAGCACTTCCCTATGGGTTCCAGCAGGCAGTACATTCAGGGAAACCAACCTGTAAGTTGTTGGTGTATTTGGTGGGGTGAATGGGAGGGTGAGCTTGGTCAGACTTGTTCCCATTGCGTGGGGTGGGACCACCCCGCTCTAGAATGCTCTGGGCAAAGGCCCCCCAGCGTGGATCGGGGGTCTGCTGTTCCACCAACACCGTCAGGTTTAAGTCTCTGGGAAAAATGTTTGTTTCTGTTCGGGGATAGCTGATGTACCTAAAACCAAGGCAAACAAACAGAAAAAGAAATTGCTAGGCTCTCTGATTGGTCTATAAACAACTGAAAGCACACACTAACACCTGCAAACACTCATCTGATGTAGCCAACTCAACTGAAGGCAGCCTACATTACCTGCTTCAGAAAAGTTCTGAGATGAGATGCACCCCCTCATGGGATGAAAAGCAGCTGGCTCTCCTGCTAGCACACTCAAAGAAGCCAAAAGGGGCAGCACAGCACAGGAAAAAGGCCAGCAGCCTCATAGCCTGGGGCTTGTCACTGGCCACTCTGAGGGTCAGTCTGACAGACCAGCCCTGATGCAGCACATGAGACTCACTGACCCTGACAAGTTCCACCAGCGTGTGCTTCAAGACTTTTCTTAGAGTACACAAAGAACAATGCTGTCCGATAAACTGTAATGTGGACTCTATTTGTTTTTTCTTTTTCATTTTTGAGATAGTCTTGCTGTGGCACCCAGGCTGGAGTGTAGCAGCGCAAGCTTGGCTCACTGTGGCCTCCGTCTCCCAAGCTAAAGTGATCCTCCTGCCTCAGCCTCCTGAATAGCTGGGACTACAAGTGTGTGGCACCATGCCTGGCTAATTTTTTTTTTTTTTTGTAGAGACAGGGTTTTGTCATGTTGCTCAGGTCGGTCTTGAACTCCTGAGCTCAAGTGATCCTCCTGCCTAGGCCTCCCAAAGTGCTCAGATTTCAGGTGTGACCCAACATACCCAGTCTCTATTTGTAATTTTTGTTTCCCCCCAAGAGACGGAGTCTTGCTGTGTCACCCAGGCTGGAGTGCAGTGGCGTGATCTCAGCTCAGTACAACCTCTGCCTCCCGGGTTCAAGCAATTCTCTTGCCTCAGCCTCCTAAGTAGCTGGGATTACAGGTGCCTGCCACCACACCTGGCTAATTTTTGTATTTTTAGTAGAGATGGGGTTTCACCATGTTGGCCAGGCTGGTCTCGAACTCCTGACCTCATGATCCACCCACCTCGGCCTCCCAAAGTGCTAGGATTACAGGCGTGAGCCACCACGCCCAGCATAATTTAAAATTTTCAATTAGTCACTTAAGTTACTGAGATTACATTCTATTTCATAGAAGTCTTCAAAACCCAATGTATATTTTACATCTATAGCGCATCCCAATTTGGACAACTTGAATTTCAACTGCTCAATAGCTGCAGGCTGGACAGCACAGTTAGAGGACCTCAGTGCTGGGGTGTATATGACTGGGGCGGGGAGGAGTTTCACAGGCAAACAACTTTTAAAGGTGCCACCCACTGTCTGCCACTTGCCAGGGCCACAGGGAGATGGCTGAGGAGTCAAAAGTAAGATCTGAATCTACTCTATGGGTTTTTACATAGAAACACCTTTTCTGTATCAGAAAAGAGAAGTCAAAGTCAAAATCCTACCTCAGAGCTTGGGTGCTATCTAGACAATCAGTTTTTCCCCATAAACTCTTATTTCTTTATTTCTTTCTTTTTCCTTTTTTTTTTGAGATGGAGTCTCACTCACTCACCAGGCTGGAGTGCAGCGGTGTGATCTCACCTCACTGCAACCTCCGCCTCCTGGGTTCAAACGGTTCTCCTGCCTCAGCCTCCCCAGTAGCTGGGACTACAGGCGCACGCCACCACGTCCAGCTAATTTTTGTATTTTTAATACAGATGGGATTTCACCATGTTGGCCAGGATGGTCTTGATCTCTTGACCTCGTGATCTGCCCGCCTCAGCCACCCAAAGTGATGGGATTACAGGTGTGAGCCACCGTGCCCAACCCATAAACTCTATTTCTCAAATATTTCATCCTGATAAAGACGGTTCAAATTCTACTCCCAAACCCAAAATACTTACCCTTGAGTGTAGAGCTTCTCAGCAATCCTCATGGTTTCTTTAGCATTTATTCTCAACTTTCGAGAAGCCAGCTTCTCAAGCTCCTGTGAAATGGGTCAACAGGCATGTTAGGTGTACTGCATGGGTCAGGCAGCACAACTCAAATACACAACTCATCTTCAGTCAAATCTGGCCCGTGTCACTCCAGGTGCTTCTGTCAAACAGAGCTGAAAAGGCTGCCCAACAACGATTTCTGGGCCTGCCAAGCAGAGTCAGATCCTAGCCTAGTGGTTCTCAGACTTTAATGTGTGCAGGACTCAACTGGGAAGCCAGCAGATTTGGGGCCCTGACCACTGGGGAAGGTGCTATGTTGCGCAGGCTGATCTTGAACTCCTGGCCTCAAGCAATCCTCCCGCCTTGGCCTCCCAAAATGCTAGGATCACAAGCGTGAGCTACCATATCCAGCCCAAACTCCACATTTTTTTTTTTGAGACGGAGTCTCGCCCTGTCGCCTAGGCTGGAGTGCAGTAGCATGATCTCGGCCCACTGCAACCTCCACTTCCTGGGTTCAAGTGATTCTCCTGCTTCAGCCTCCCAAGTAGCTGAGATTACATCACCACCATGCTTGGCAAATTTTTGTATTTTTAGTAGAGATGGGGTTTTGCCATGCTGGCCTGGCTGGTCTCGAACACCTGACCTCAGGTGATCTGCCCGCCTCGGCCTCCCAAAGTGCTGGGATTACAGAAGTGAGCCACCACGTCTGGCCAAAACTCTGCATTTTAAAAATTTTTTTATTTTCGAGACAGTCTCGCTCTTGTTGCCCAGACTGCAGGGCAGTGGCACGATCTCGGCTCACTGCAACCTCTGCCTCCTGGGTTCATGCGATTCTCCTGCCTCAGCCTCCTGAGTAGCTGGGACTACAGGTGCTCACCATGGCTGGCTAATTCTTGTGTTTTCAGTAGAGACGGGGTTTTGCCATGTTGGCCAGGCTGGTCTCAAATTCCTGACCTCAGGTGATCTGCCTGCCTTGGCCTCCCAAAGTGCTGTGATTACAGGCGTGAGCCACCGCGTCTGGCCCAGAAATCTACATTTTTTTTTTTTTTCACATGGAGTCTTGCTCTGTCATCCAGGCTGGAGTGCAGTGGCGTGATCTCGGCTCACTGTAAGCTCTGCCTCCTGGGTTCACGCCAATTCTCCTGCCTCAGCCTCCCGAGTAGCTGGGACTACAGGCACCTGCCACCACGCCTGGCTGATTTTTTCTATTTTTAGTAGAGACAGGGTTTCACCATGTTAGCCAGGATGGTCTCGATCTCCTACCTCGTGATCTGCCCGCCTCAGCCTCCCAAAGTGCTGAGATTACAGGCGTGAGCCACTGCGCCCGGCCCGAAATCTACATTTTTTAACAAGCAGTCTAATACACTGCTTTAACACAGACAGTCTGAGAACCACACTTTGGGAATACCACCCAAGCCCCAGTAAATTCTCCTGGAGGGTGAAAATAATGAGCTGTTCTTTTCCCTAGGTGACAAGCTAACAATGCTGATGACTATACGTCACACTACAGCACACTTAACCAGGGAGGACTAAAACACATATGCCTACTATATAAAATCAATGCAGCTGGGCACGGTGGGTCATGCCTCTAATCCCAGCACTTTGGGAGGCCGAGGCGGGCGGATCACAAGTTCAATAGATTGAGACTACCCTGGCCAACATGGTGAAACCCCATCTCTACTAAAAATACAAAAATTAGCTGGGTGTGGTGGCGCGCACCTATAGTCCCAGCTACTCAGGAGGCTGAGGCAGGAGACTCGCTTGAGCCCGGGAGACGGAGGTTGCAGTGAACCAAGATCACGCCACTGCACTCCAGCCTGGCGACAGAGCAAGACTCTGTCTCAAAAAACAAACAAACAAACAAACAAAATGCATAACTTCCCCCATGCAATCCCTCCACACATATACACATTTATTGTGGCTTGACCAAGACAAAAGAACGCACTGACCACCAGTCCCTGTGTGCTTCTTAGCCTCCATGCTTGTTAGCCTGAGTGTTCTGTATGTCCAACCTCCAGAGTGAATTCTAATAGTAATTCTATCCCAAATTTTCCTGCTAAGTGGTGACTGAGAAGGCATACTCCTAATGTGATTTACTCAGACTTATGTTCTGTCAGGGTGGCTCTTTCTGGGGTCAAATAATTTGAGAAGCCCTGTTCTAAAGTAGGTTCATATAGCAGATTATTTAAAGCAATATTTATACAGATTATACAGCAACATGAAAAAAATGCTTGGGTGGAAAAGCTACTCTAATTATAATGCTGTAAAAATATGCATATTAAAAAACAGGAAGAGATACTAGTAATTATGTAAGGATGGTGAAGCCATAGGTTGTCTTCCTCTTTTTGTTTCCCAAACCTCATACAATGCAGTTATATTGCATTTGTTAACAAAAACAACAAAAAAAAGGCCAGGCGCGGTGGCTCACGCCTCTAATCCCAGCACTTTGGGAGGCTGAGGTGGGCAGATCACCTGAGGTCAGAAGTTCGAGACCAGCCTGACCAACATGGAGAAACCCTGTCTCTACTACAAACACAAAATTAGCCAGGCATGGTGGTGCATGCCTATAATCCCAGCTACTTGGGAGGCTGAGGCAGGAGAATCACTTGAACCCGGGAGGCAGAAGTTGTGGTGAGCTGAGACCGCACCATTGCACTCCAGCCTAGGCAACAAGAGCGAAACTGCGCCCTGTCCCTGTCCCTGTCCCTCTCCCTCTCCCCACGGTCTCCGTCTCCCTCTCTCCACGGTCTCCCTCTGATGCCGAGCTGAAGCTGGACGGTACTGCTGCCTGATTCTCCTGCCTCAGCCTGCGGACTGCCTGCGATTGCAGGCGCGCGCCGCCACACCTGACTGGTTTTCGTATTTTTTTGGTGGAGACGGGGTTTCGCTGTGTTGGCTGGGCTGGTCTCCAGCTCCTAACCGCTAGTGATCCGCCAGCCTCGGCATCCTGAGGTGCCGGGATTGCAGACGGAGTCTCGTTCACTCCGTGCTCAATGGTGCCCAGGCTGGAGTGCAGTGGCGTGATCTCGGCTCGCTACAACCTTCACCTCCCAGCAGCCTGCCTTGGCCTCCCAAAGTGCCGAGATTGCAGCCTCTGCCCGGCCGCCACCCCATCTGGGAAGTGAGGAGCGTCTCTGCCCAGCCGCCCATCGTCTGGGATGTGAGGAGCCCCTCTGCCTGGCTGCCCAGTCTGGAAAGTGAGGAGCGTCTCTGCCCGGCCGCCATCCCATCTAGGAAGTGAGGAGCGCCTCTTCCCGGCCGCCATCCCATCTGGGAAGTGAGGAGCGTCTCTGCCCGGCCGCCCATCGTCTGAGATGTGGGGAGCACCTCTGCCCTGCCGCCCCGTCTGGGATGTGAGGAGCGTCTCTGCCCGGCCGCCCCGTCTGAGAGGTGAGGAGACCCTCTGCCTGGCAACCACCCCGTCTGAGAAGTGAGGAGCCCCTCCGCCCGGCAACCGCCCCGTCTGAGAAGTGAGGAGCCCCTCCGCCCAGCAGCCGCGCCGTCTGAGAAGTGAGAAGCCCCTCCGCCCAGCAGCCACCCCGTCTGGGAAGTGAGGAGCGTCTCTGCCCAGCAGCCACCTCGTCCGGCAGGGAGGTGGGAGGGTCAGCCCCCCGCCCGGCCAGCCGCCCCATCCGGGAGGGAGGTGGGGGGGTCAGCCCCCCACCCGGCCAGCCTCCCCGTCCGGGAGGGAGGTGGGGGGGTCAGCCCCCCGCCCGGCCAGCCGCCCCGTCCGGGAGGTGAGGGGCGCCTCTGCCCGGCTGCCCCTACTGGGAAGTGAGGATCCCCTCTGCCCGGCCACCACCCTGTCTGGGAGGTGTACCCAACAGCTCATTGAGAACGGGCCATGATGACAATGGAGGTTTTGTGGAATAGAAAGGGGGGAAGGGTGGGGAAAAGATTGAGAAATCGGATGGTTGCCGTGTCTGTGTAGAAAGAGGTAGACGTGGGAGACTTTTCATTTTGTTCTGTACTAAGAAAAATTCTTCTGCCTTGGGATCCTGTTGATCTGTGACCTTACCCCCAACCCTGTGCTATCTGAAACATGTGCTGTATCCACTCAGGGTTGAATGAATTAAGGGCAGTGCAAGATGTGCTTTGTTAAACAGATGCTTGAAGGCAGCATGCTCCTTAAGAGTCATCACCACTCCCTAATCTCAAGTACCCAGGGACACAAACACTGCGGAAGGCCGCAGGGTCCTCTGCCTAGGAAAACCAGAGACCTTTGTTCACTTGTTTATCTGCTGACCTTCCCTCCACTATTGTCCTGTGACCCTGCCAAATCCCCCTCTGTGAGAAACACCCAAGAATGATCAATTAAAAAAAATAAAAATAAAATTAAAATTAAAAAAAAAAAAGAGCAAAACTCCATCTCAAAAAATAAAAAATAAAAAATAACAGGCCAAGCAGTGGTTGGGTGTGGTGGCTTATGCCTGTAATCCCAGTACTTTGGGAGGCTGGGGCTGGAGAATCACTTGAGGCCAGAAGCTTGAGACTAGCCTAGTCAACATAGTGAGATTCCATCTCTACCAAAAAATTTTAAAAATAATTAGCTGGTCATAGTGGTACATGACTATAGTCCCAGCTACTTGGGAGGCTGAGGTGGGAAGATCTCTTGAGCCCAGAAGTTTGAGTCTACAAAAACAAAATAAACAAAAAAACAAACAGTGAGGCTAAGCAGGACCGTGTCTTTCTCCAGTGTTTTCTTGTGTGGCCTGGTGATGGGTGATATTTTCTTCCACCAAGCCACAGTCTAGGCGGTAGAACCACAGCCTCAAAACAGTAAGTGTTCCCCGAGTGCCTGAAACAGCCTGTCTGGAACATACCACAGTGTCCAAGGCTTGAGGCCGCCACTTGCTCTTGGGCTTAGATCTGACCTCTACCACAGTTGCCATGGGATCCTAGAAAGCCAGGAAAGAAAAGACCATGTTAACCTGTTAGTGCATCATCTCCATCCTTCCTATGGATAGCCCATGCCAATCCTTCTAGATCACACTGACCACCGCCAGCTAAGCCCGCAGTGACAGCCTAGAAGAGTGCCCCACTTAATGTCGCTTGTAGCTGACAGTATGGTAGACACCATCACTACTTTCCCACTCAAACCAAGATTGTGAAGGGCAATTTCACAAGCCTTAAGGTGCTTCCACCAGAGCCTATGAAATCCAACAGCCTATGCATCACCTGAGTACAGTTTTCTATGTACACGTGCACAGTGCTCTTTCTGTTGTTGTTTTCTTTAAAATACAGAGATGGGGTCTTGCTATGTTGCCCAGGCTGGCCCAGAAGTCCTGGGCTCAAGCAATACTCCCATAAGCCACCATGCTTGGCCCAGTGCTCCTTTAAAAAAAAAATTCAGGATAATACAGTTAGAAATAGGAGAAATTGCTGGGCACAGTGGCTCACGCCTGTAATCCCACCACTTTGGGAGGCCGAGGCGGGCGGATTACAAGGTCGAGAGCTAGACCATCCTGGCCAACATGGTGAAAATCCATCTCTACTAAAAATACAAAAATTAGCTGGGCGTGGTGGTGCACGCCTGTAGTTCCAGCTACTGGGGAGGCTGAGGCAGGAGAATCGCTTGAACCCGGGAGGTAGAGGTTGCAGTGAGCTGAGATCGTGCCATTGCACTCCAGCCTGGCAAATGAGCTAGACTTTGTCTCGGGGGAGAAAAAAAAAAGAAATAGGAGAAATTGTACAAGTTGGAGACCTTTAATCTTAAAACCAGCTTCATAGTTTACATCACCCACCACGTAGTCCCGCACCACATCCGAGTGAAGGAGAAACAGGGCAGGTCTTTTTATTACTTACTTTTATATTTTATTATTATTTGATTTTTTTTTTGAGGCAGTATCTCGTTCTGTCACTCAGGCTGAAGTGCAGTGGCATAATCATGGCTCACTGCAGCCTCAATCTGCTGGGCTCAAGCGATTCTCCCACCTCAGCCTCCCAAGTAGATGGAACTATATGCAGGTACCACCACGCCCAGCTAATTTTTCTTTTTTAGAAAGATGGGGTTTCACTATGAAACCCAGGCTGGTGGTCTTTTTATTTAACAAATAATTGTACAGTGTCACAGAGACTCCCAGTGGTCCAGGGTCAAAGGGTGGAGTGAGAGAGAGATGGAGAAGGCAGCATGGTCTGCAGAAGGGGCAGGGACACACTAGGACTCTGCCATGTACAGCTCTCACGTGTCTGTGGGTTAAGTCTCTTCACTTTCTTTAGCTTCCTCATCTGGAAAATGTGGATGCTATCACTGCCTTCAGAGGCATTATTAGGATTAAACAAAACAACACATAACGAAGTGTACCTGGTCCATAGCGGGTGCTGCACAGTTATCACATCCCTTTGCCTAATTAGTAACAAATCTGCCAGTGGGCTACAGCCAAGAAGCACACCATGAATTAAGCCTAGAGAGCTCGGAATTTTACTTAAGCATGACTCTGTGCAGCCCCTGGGTTAAACCAGGCTGTTATGTGCTAATAGGAAGTGGCATCAGAAAGTAAACAATCAGCCCAAGGGCCAGGAAACATTAGGGTGGGTCCCAACTCTGCCACCAACTGGCCTATGACCCGGGCCAGTCTTGCTCCCTTCTATGACACATGCGTGTCCCACCCACCCCGCCAGCCCTTTCCCTAATCTCTCCAGCCTCTGCTCAAGTGTTACCCCTCCCCTCACTGTCCCTCCGGCCTTTCTCTATCCCTTTACCTTGCTTTATTTTCTTCCTAGCTTTTATCACTATATAAAATTAGCCCACTAATTTGTGACTTTCACTTCTCTAGATGTCCTCATGTGACCAATAAAGAGGGGGCTGAGCCAAATGCTGTTCATTCTCTCCTAGCTCTATAAGTCAATGACCTGGACTGGTCTAGATAATCCTTGCTAATTTCTGGTGATAGTATATGCCCCAAGAGGGGATTTCAACTATACGTTTCCCAAAATTTCTGATTTTATCTAAAAATAATGTAGATACTTCCCTTTTCCTTTTAGTGCTGTTCTCATGGGGTTCGTCTTATTGGTTCCCAAAAAGTGATCCCCTGAGATGCAAACTTAAAGCTAAAGTCCAATGGGAGAATGAGACAGATCACCTCTGCCGACAGTGGGAGTGGTTTGGGAGGTGTGCAGAATGTTTCCTAGATCATTAGGGGTTCTTACCTCCACACACAACTGATAGAGAACTAGGCAAGCCGTGTGGTTAAAGAGTCGATGCCTTTTCCAGTTGAATTCTACGATACCATCTTTGTGGTCATGAGTTACTATATTAAGGAGAGACAAACAGAAAGGCTGTGTCTCAGAGACATGTCATGATATGACAGATAGAAAAAGGTTTATTGTGGTGAAAGTCAAACGAATATCAAATAGGGAGGAGTTTCTGGATAACAAAGGGAACTTTAAGTGGATTGTAATGGGCCAGGGAGGATGACAGCAAGACTAAAATAAATCACATCTTTATTAGTGCTATTAATGCTCACAGTCCCCCTCCTTAACCTTGAGCCCATAGGTCCCAGGCCATAACACCCACTCCAGGCCCTACCTTTAATTCTGTGGAAGATTTCTGGTACAAAAGCCTGAATGGCTTTGAACCGCTCCACCACAAAGCCCAGTGTGGGGAACTGGCAGCTGCCGTAACTGATGAGCTGCTCTGCCAGCACCTCAGGAAAAATCCTCTGAAGCCGCAGGGTCTGGAACCTAGTAAAGGCAGCTCCTGGAGAGTGAAGGAGAGTGAAGGAAGGTGAAAATGATGGATAATGAGAGTCCAGGGCTGGCTGCACATATCGACACAGAGCCCATTTTTGGTCCCATAACACAACATTAATGTGGCCATGGGAGAGGTCTGCCTAGCTCCTCACCAATCCTCAGGTCCAGCTCCTGCCTCACATCCACAGCATCGCTCACCCTCTGATCAGGCTCGGTCAGGTTTTCACAAGCTGTCCTGACGGCATGGGGTGTGATCTCAGAGAATCGGGCTCGCAACACCTGCAGATTGGGCTTTACTGCAGAACACAAGGTGTTACCAAGGTCAAAGTCAAATCACACTGCCCTCCATCATAAAGGACTCACTTTTCTTAAAGCCCCTTGAAATAAAGGCAAACCAGTTCAAGAAGCTGTGAGATGACCAATTTACCTATTAGGTTAAATCAATGGTGTACAGTGTCTAAAGAGGAAACATCACCATAACCTTTAAACTGAGTGTACTGTCAGAAATAGTGATGGAGTTAATTTTAGCTAGTAACTGTGGGGAAAAGAGAGATCAGATCGTTACTGTGTCTAGTAGAAAAAGGAAGACATAAAGAAACTCCATTTTGATCTGTACTAAGAAAAATTGTTCTGCTTTGAGATGCTGTTAATAATCTGTGACTTGTCCCAACCCTGTGCTCACAAAAACATGTGCTGTATTGACTCAAGGTTTAAAGGATTTAGGCCTGTGCAGGATGTGCTTTGTTAAAAATGTGTTTGCAGGCAGTACGCTTTGTGAAAGTCATCGCCATTCTCCACTCTCTATTAACCAGAGACACAATGCACTGTGGAAGGCCGCAGGGACCCCTGCCCAAGAAAGCCTGGGTATTGTCAAGGTTTCCCCCGACTGAGACAGCCTGAGATATGGCCTCGTGGGAAGGGAAAGACTTACAGCCCCCCAGCCCGACACTCGTAAAGGGTCAGTGCTGAGGAGGATTAGTGAAAGAGTAAGGCCTCTATGCGGTTGAGATAAGAAGGCATCTGTCTCCTGCACGTCTCTGGGAATGGAATGACTCGGTGTACAACCGACCATATATTCTATTCTGAGATAGGAGAAAACCACCTTATGGCTGGAGGCGAGACATCACGGCGGCAATACTGCTCTGTTACTCTTTACTGCACTGAGATGTTTATGTAAAGGTAAACATAAATCTAGCCTACGTGCACATCCAGGCACAGCACCTTCCCTTAAACTTATTTATGACACAGTCTTTTGTTTGTTTTCCTGCTGACCCTCTCCCCACCAACACCCTATAGTCACACTGCATTCCCCTCCCTGAGATAGTAAAGATAGTGATTGATAAATACTGAGGAACTGAGACCAGCACTGGTGTAGGTCTTCACTTGCTGAGCGCCGGTCCCCTGGGCCCACTTTTCTTCCCCTTTACTTTGTGTGTGTCTTCTTTCTTTTCTCAGTCTCTCGTCTCCACCTTGTGAGAAATACCCACAGGTGTGGAGGGGCAGGCCCCCTCCAATAACTAAAATACTAAAATGCTCTTGGTGAACATTTTTTTTTTGGAGACAGTCTCACTCTGTCACCCAGGCTGGAGTGCAGTGGTGCAATCTCGGCTCACTGCAACCTCTGCTTCCTGGGTTCAAGCAATTCTCCTGCCTTGGTCTCCTGAGTAGCTGGGACTACAGGCGCCCGCCACCACACCTGGCTAATTTTTGTATTTTTAGTAGAGACAGGGTTTCACCATGTTGACCAGGCTGGTCTTGAACACCTGACCTCAGGAGATCCACCTGCCTCAGCCTCCCAAAGTGCTGGGATTACAGGCATGAGCCACCGTGCCTGGCTGCCTTTTGCAACTTTAATCTTACTTGCTCTCTCAGGCCTTTTGAGAAAAGAAAAATATTGTCAATTAAAGGGTTCTGTAGGGGAATTTCATGTCCCTTCAGCAAAGAATATAGGACATATACACACTGTCCTTGAAAGTTAATGCACTTAAATTTCCAGGAGTCATTACAGCTTTGAACACAAAACCACTAAAGGAAAGTAGCAACCCCACCCTCTGAGCCAGAGAATGGCCTGTTCATCACTCCCTCTAAGTTACCCAAAACCATTAACACTGTTAGAGCCTTTAAATCCACTGCAACAATTATTTATTAATAGTCGAGCATTGTATAATATGAGAGATTAAAAAAGAAAACAGAACATTTTATAATTATTTTTTGTACTTTACTTGTGGTATATTCATTCTTTTATACATATTCAATATGTAATTTTATTTTTCTATTTTTGCTTCCATTAACCAAATACTAAAAGAATTCAATATATAACAACAACAACAACAACAAAAAGAATATAAAGTCCCTGTTCTCAAGGAGCCGGGTATCTGCTTGTATGCTTGTACCTAACAAGAAATGAGTCCTGGGCTAAATGGTTTACACCACTCATTAACTCATCTAATCTCTGTGGCAGTCCCAGGAAACATGTCAGATTGGCCTGATGTTAGAGACAAGGAAGTTGAGGCTCCCAATGGCTCAGTGATTTGCTCCAGGACACATGGCTGGTGGGACTCACAGACTGGGAGGGAGAGTACCTGCAGAGGACCTCATCCGTGGCCCATGTGCACATATAAACAAGAACACTCTATTTATGGAGTTCCAAAGTAGAGAAAGTCAGCAGCAGCAGCAGCACTTACCAGCCTTACACACGTGGATAATCTCAAACCCGATGTTTTCGCCTTCTCTATCACAGTCAGTCCAGATCACCAGAGCCTGGCACTGGCGAGTCTCTCGTTCCAAAGTTTTCTTAAGTTCGCAGTGGAATAAGAGTGGTGAGAACAGAATTGCACAACAGTGACTTGACATCTCTAAGCTAAGGGGATCTGACTGAAGGTTAATGCTGCTCTTGGAGTGTGACAACTTGGCAAGGGAAAGAGAACAGAGAAAACTGCTCTCATTGGTGCTAATCATGATACAACCCCTTAGAACCATAAACGAGTTTCTAGAATAGAGGGTTTAATATAACTTCCCCAATATGACAAAACCTGAAATTCAGCTCTAACACACACACACGCGCGCGCGCGCGCGCGCACGCACACTTCGAGAGGTTCTGATTATGACCTAGTTAAAAAAAACGAAGCCGGCTGGGCGTGGTGGCTCACGCCTGTAATCCCAGCACTTTGGGAGGCCGAGGTGGGTGGATCACGAGGTCAGGAGATCGAGACCATCCTGGTTAACACGGTGAAACCCTGTCTCTACTAAAAATACAAAAAATTAGCCGGGCATGGTGGCAGGCACCTGTAGTCCCAGCTACTCGGGAAGCTGAGGCAGGAGAATGGCATGAACCCGGGAGGCGCAGCTTGCAGTGAGTCGAGATCGCACCACTGCAGTCCAGCCTGGGTGACAGAGCAAGACTCCATCTCAAAACAAAACAAAACAAAACAAAACAAAATGAATCCCAATTGAATTTCATCCAAAGTTTTATCAGTTCTCAATAAATTAACTGGCCAGGCTCGGTGGCTCACACCTGTAATCCCAAAACTTTAGGAGGCTGAGGCGGGTGGATCACGTGAGGTCAGGAGTTCGAGACCAGCCTGGCCAACATGGTGAAACCCCATCTCTGTTAAAAATGCACAAATTAGCCGGGTGTGGTGGCAGGCGCCTGTAATCTCAGCTACTTGAGAGGCTAAGGCAAGAGAATCGCTTGAACCTGGAGGCAGAGGTTGCAGTGAGCTGAGATTGCACCATCATACTCCAGCCTGGGGGACAAGAGCGAGACTTCGTCTCAAAAAATAAATAAATAAATAAATAAAAATTAAAAATAAATTAACTATACATGCCCTGACTGCTTGACAACTGGCAATTTACTGTCAAACAGGCATTTATACTTTGTAGCCTCTTTCATCTAACAAGGGGTGAGATGGGGGCTACGCGCTAATAATTTACAATACTTAGGATTATTTTTTGATAGGGTCTCACTTTCTCACCAGGCTGGAGTGTGGTGGTGTGATTACGGCTCACTGCAGCCTCAACCTCCTGCCTCCTGGGATCAAGTAATCCTCCTTCCTCAGCCTTACTAGTAGCTGGGACTATAGGCATACATCACCATGCCTGGTTAAATTTTTTTTTTTTTTTGAGAGATAGGGTCTCACTATGTTGCCCAGGCTGGTCTCAAATTCCTGGAGTTCATGTGATCCTGCCTTGGCCCCACAAATTGCTGGGATTACAGGCATAAACCACCATGTCCAGCCTTTATTCCTAGGATTTAAACAACTACCATTCATAAAAAAAGTTTACTTCAGTCCCTTGGCCACTTAGCCACATTTATACAATGGGTGGGAACCAGCTTTTTAAATCATGGTAGTGACTTTGGTGGAAAACCTTATCTCCAAATGCCAATGCATTAAAAACAAAGAAATCACTCTGTTTGACTCTGTGGTTTGACTCAGTGCCATATGTCTTCCAAAAGACCCTACCTTGATGTCTACAAAATTCTCTGGGCAGTACTTTTCAATTTCTGCTTCAAAGAGGACAAGAGGGTTGCAGCTCTGCCTAGAAAAGAAATGAAAACAGAGTCCCAACTCAGTACATGACAGAGAGCCCTCCAATCTAATGACAGCAAACTGTTCCAATGGGTTCATGGTGTATCCCCAAAAGAAAAGGTCCCGGTGAATTGAAAGTAAGGCTATGACCCTCTGCATGACACACTGTCCACTTCTCCAAGAGTGTGAACAGGACTGATAAGATGGCATTCTGGAGCCCTTTCACAGGTAAATGCAATCCAATGGCTGCATGAAAAAGGTCTGGCAATTTTGAGGAACACCAAAAGTGACTGTTTAAAGATTTAATAAAAATTCACAATGGATCAGATAATCCTAGGTCATCTTAGTATTATAAATTACTGCTGGGCGTGGTAGCTCACGCCTGTAATCCCAGCACGTTGGGAGGCCAAGGTGGGTGGATCACGAGGTCAGGAGATCGAGACTAGCCTGGCTAACACGGTGAAACCCCGTCTCTACTAAAAATACGAAAAATTAGCCAAGCGTGGTGGCAGGCACCTGTAGTCCCAGCTACTCGGGAGTCTGAGGCAGGAGAATCGCTTGAACCCGGGAGGTGGAGGTTACAATGAGTCAAGATTGTGCCACTGCACTCCAGCCTAGGCGACAGAATAAAACTCCGTCTCAAAAAATAAATAAAATAAATAAATAAATAAATAAATTACCAAGGCACAGTGGCTCACGCCTGTAATCCTAGCACTTTGGGAGGCAAAAGAAGGCAAACCCTGCTTTGTTTAAGACCAGCCTGGGCAACAGGGTGAAACTCCATCTCTACTAAAATAGAAAAAATTAGCTGGGTGTAGTGGCACATGGCTGTAAGGCCAGTTACTTGGGAAACTGAGGCATGAGAATCGCTTGAACCCAGGAGGCGGAGGTTGCAGTGAGACGAGATTGCGCCACTGCACTCCAGCCTGGGTAACGCAGCGAGACCCTGACTCAAAAAAAAAAAAAAAAAAAAACCGGGCATGGTGGCTCACGGTCTGTAATCCCAGCACTTCAGGAGGCTGAGGTGGGCAGACCACCTGAGGTCAGGAGTTCGAGACCAGCCTGGTCAACATGGTGAAACCCTGTCTCTACTAAAAATACAAAAACTAGCCAGGTGTGGTGGCACGTGCCTATAGTCCCAGCTACTCGGGAGGGTGAGGCAGGAGAATCACTCGAACCCAGGAGGCAGAGGTTGCTGTGAGCCGAGATCACACCACTGCACTCCAGCCTGGGAGACAGAGTCTCACTCTGAAACTTTGTCTCCAACAAAAAAAAAAAAAAAAAAAAAAAAAAAAAAAAAAAATTACCCAGTAAGATCAACATGCCTCAAAATTCCTGTGAAATTTCACAACTTACTATAATCTGAAAGTCCTTCCCTTGAGAATTGTACTGACCATTTTCGAAACTGCATCTGGAAATCATGAGCCAGTAAATGTCCAGAAACTGAAGTCATTACCATGGTAACATTCTGAATGATGACAAAATTCAAAATTCAGTTAGTCTTTTTGCAGTTATTATTCTGCCAAATCATTAAAATGAGAGGGAGGAGCTTCTATTAAAGACATTTTTAAAAACCTGATTGGGAAGAAATAAACATAAATATAAGCTCTTCAAAGCCAAAAGTCACAGGAATACAATCACCATTCTAATGATATGGTGTATAACTGACGCCTCTTGCATCAGTTAAATTTTCCTCAAACTATTGTATATTAGCTTTTTTTTTTTGTAATGAAGAGCTGAGATGGGACCATATTTTATTAAAAAGAGAACTCCTCATAAATTATAAAGTGATCACCCCATATCCAGGAACCTTTAGGTTGTTAACAGTTGTTATTCTTAAGACAGCGACATATTCTACATATGACGAGGCTGACTACTTTCTCTTGCTTATGATTGAAATATTTTAGAAATATTTTAGCACCTACCTGGCCATACAGATGATAATCAAATTCATAGATCTTGTTGAATTTTGAAAGTCCTTCTCTCTATAAAACAAAAATAAGTAAAAAATATAAATTACGTTTAAAACAATGGATTCCTTTGTATAATTCTTTCTGATCCTGAATTTGGCAATGATTTCTTGGTTATGATACCAAAAATATAACCAACATTGCTCCAAAGAAGATAAGAAATGGCCAACAAGCATATGAAAAGATGCTCAATGTTATTAATCATTAGGAAAACACAAATCAAAACCATGATGAGGTACCACTCCATACCCATTAGGATAATAATTAAATAGAATAATAAAAAAAACAAGTAAAATAACAAGTGTTGTTGAGGATGTGGAGAAATTGGACATTGTCAGTGGAAATGTAAAATGCTTTGGCCACTCTGGAAAATGTTGGTGTTTCCTCAAAAAGTTACAGAGTTATCACATGTCACAGCAATTCCACTCCTACAAATTTACCCAAAAGAATTAAAAACGCATTCAAATACACTTTGGGAGGCTGAGACAGTTGGATCACTTTAGGTCAGGAGTCCGAGACCAGCCTGGCCAACATGGTGAAACCCCATCTCTACTAAAAATACAACAATTGGCCAGGTGTGGTGGTGTGTGCCTGTAATCCCAGTTACTTGGGGAGGCTGAGGCAGGAGAATCACTTGAGCCCAGGAGGTGGACGTTGCAGTGAGTGGAGATGGCGCCACTGCACTCTAGCCTGGGTGACAGAGCGAGACTGTCTCAAAAAACAAAAAACAAACAAAAAAACACATTCAAACAAAAACTTGTACATGAAAGTCTATAGAAGTTCTTTTTTTTTTTTTTTTTTGAGATGGAGTCTGGCTCTGTCGCCCAGGCTGGAGTCCAGTGGCGTGATCTCGGCTCACTGCAAGCTCCACCTCCCGGGTTCACACCATTCTCCTGCCTCAGCCTCCCGAGTAGCTGGGACTACAGGCACCTGCCACCACGCCCGGCTAATTTTTTTGTATTTTTAGTAGAGATGGGGTTTCACCGTGTTAGCCAGAATGTTCTCAATCTCCTGACCTCGTGATCCACCTGCCTCGGCCTCCCAAAGTGCTGGGATTACAGGTGTGAGCCACCACGCCCAGCGAATGTCTATAGAAGTTCTATTCACAATAGTCAAAAGATGAAAACAACCCAAATGTCCATCAACTGATGTATGGTAAAATGAAATATGATCTATCCATATGATAGAATATTATTCAGCCATAAAAAGGAATGAAGAGGCCAGGTGCAATGGCTCATGCCTGTAATTCCAGCACTTTGGGAGGCTGAGGTGGGCGGATCATGAGGTCAGGAGTTTGAGACCAGCCTGGCCAACATAGTGAAACCCTGTCTCTACTAAAAATACAAAAAATTAGCTGGGCGTGGTGGTGGGTGCCTGTAATCCCAGCTACTTGGGAGGCTGAGGCAGGAGAATCGCTTGAACCTGGGAGGCGGTGGTTACAATGAGCCGAGATCTCATCACTGCACTCCAGCCTGAGCGACAGTGAGAGAGACTCCTTCTCAAAAACCAAAAAAAAGGAATGAAGAACTGATATTAATACATGGTACAACATGGATGGACTTCAAGATTATGTTAAGTGAAAGAAACCTGACACAAAAGAGCATGTAAGATATGGGTCCACTTATAGGAAATGCCCAGAACAGGCAAATCCATGGGGAAAGAAGGCAGATTCGTGGTTGTGAGGGGCTGAGGAGAGGGTAAGGGGAGTGACTGCTTAATGGATATGAGGCTTCCTCTTGGGGTGAAAAAAAACCTTCTGGAACTAGATAATGATGATGGTGGCACATTTAGTGGACAAAATTCCACTGAACTATATACTTCAAAATGATTAAAATGGTCAATTTTCTGTGCATTTTACCACTCAACCTACATGGCTCTCTAAGATTCTTATGATCTGCACTCAACTGCTGCTCTTGCTTAACTCATCGGTGTCTCTTCCCACCACACCACACCCCTAACTTCTCACTGTTTCTGAATATGCCAAGCAGTTTCAAGCCACTAGGTTGTTCTTTACAGTTTCTACTGCCTGGTAAAACTTTCAGGCTCAGCTCAAACATGCATTCAACAACTATGAATTTTTTTTTTTTTTTTTGAGACAGAGTCTCACTCTGTTGCCCAGGCTGGAGTGCAGTGGCACAATCTCGGCTCACTGCAAGCTCCACCTCCCGGGTTCATGCCATTCTGCTGCCTCAGCCTCCCGAGTAGCTGGGACTACAGGCGTCTGCCAGCATGCCCGGCTAATTTTTTGTATTTTTAGTAGAGACAGGGTTTCACCGTGTTAGCCAGGATGGTCTCAATCTCTTGACCTCATGATCCGCCCACCTCAGCCTCCCAGAGTGCTGGGATTACAGGTATGAGCCACCATGCCTGGCCTAATTTTTTTTTGAGATGGAGTCTCACTCTGTCGCCCAGGCTGTAATGTAATGGCGCAATCTAGGCTCACTGCAAGCTCCACTTCCCGGGTTGAAGCGATTCTCCTGCCTCAGCCTCGTGAGTAGCTGGGATTACAGGACCCCGCCACCACACCTGGCTAATTTTTGTATTTTTAGTAGAGATGGGGTTTTGCCATGTTGGCCAGGCTGGTCTTGAACTCACGACCTCAGGTGGTCTGCCCGCTTGAGCCTCCCCAACTGCTGGGATTACAGGCATGAGCCGCTGCGCTCAGCCCAAGTATTAATATTTATTGAAAGTTTCCTGCATTCCAGACACCATATTAGGCGTTAGGACATAGCAATTAACAAAATATAATCACTGTCCTTTGGAGTTTAGAGTCCAAGGAGAGGCAGTGACAAAAATCAAATAAATGATCGCACATCCCATTATTTAACTGTAACTAGTAGATGCCTTTCAAGTAGAATAGAGTGCTATGACAGCATGTCAGTAAGGGTCTCTGACCTAGTGTGGGGGAACAGGTGGTGAGGGAAGGATTCCTTGAAGATGAGACATTTCAGCAGCCTCTCTCCTCTAGCCGCCCCAGATGCCAAAAGGAAAGATGGCCAAGGGGAAGAAGTGGCCCTGGCCCCTGTTGTCATGGAGCAGCAGTAGGCCAAAAAGGTGGTAAATCCCATTTGAGAAAAGCCCTAATAATTTTGGCATTGGATATCTAGCCTAAGGGCCTCACCCACTTTGTCAAATAGTCCCGCTATAAATGGCTGCTGCGGCAGAGCCGCTGTACTCTATAAGTGGCTGATGTGCCACCTGGGATTGACCAGTTCACCCAGGCCTCAGACTACCAAACTTAAGCTACTCAATTGCTTAAGCTGGCCCACAGTACAGACAAGAGACAGAGCAAGGGATGAGATCGAAACCGTTGGCCCAGGCTGAGAAGAAAGCTTCCAGCAAAGGGGATGTCGCTACTAAGAGACCACCTACACTTCGAGCAGGGGTTGACACCGTCACCAACTTGGTAGAGAGCATGAAGGGTCAGCTGGTGGTGGATCCCATTGAGCTGGTTGTCTTCCTGCCTGTGCTGTGTCCTAAGATGGGGATTCTCTACTGCACCGTCAAGACTGTGGTGTCAAATTCCACAGGAAGACCTGCACCACTGTCACCTTCACAAAGGTTAACTTTCTGGTAGACAAAGGAGCTCTGGCTAAGCTGGTGGGACAAATTACAACGACATATGAGATCTGCTGTCACTGGGGAGGCAATGCCCTGGGTCCAAAATCTGTAGCTTGCATTACCAACCTAGAAAAGGCAAAGGCTAAAGAATTTGCCACTAAACTGGGTTAAGTACACACTGTTGTGTTTTCTGTACATAAAAATAAAAATTCTCTTTCCAAGAAAAGTCTTTCCTTTTGGCTGGAACTGCCATCTTGGAGTAATTTGCCAAAATGACGAACACAAAGGAAAAGAGGACGAGGCATCTGATGTATGTTCTCCTGGCCTTATAGAAAACATGGAGTTCGAGCTGGGCACGGTGGCTCACGCCTGTAACCCTAACACTTTGGGAGGCTAAGGCGGGTGGCTCACCTGAAGTCAGGAGTTCAAGACCATCCTGGCCAACACAGTGAAACTACTAAAAATACAAAAAATTAGCTGGGCATGGTGACAGGCACCTGTAATCCCAGCTACTAGGGAGGCTGAGGCAGGAGAATCGCTTGAACCCGGGAGGCGGAGGTTGCAGTGAGCTGAGATCACACCATTGCACTCCAGGCTGGGCAACAAGAGCAAAGCTCCATCTCAAAACAAACAAACAAAACAAAACAAAAATATGGAGTTTCTCTGGCCACAGACACCAGAATCTACAATGAAGGTGATATTGAGGACTTCGTGAGAATGCATACTGTTCAAAAGGGAATGACCCACAAATGTTACATGGCAGAACTGGAAAAGTCTATGTTACCCAGCATGCTGTTGGCACTGCTGCGAACAAGGGCTAGATTCTTGCCCAAAGAATTAATGTTTCTATTGAGCATATTAAGCACTCTAAGAACCAAGATCTTTCCTGAAATGTGTGAAGGAAAATGATCAAAAAAGAAGCAAGTCAAAGAGAAAGGGTTCACCTGAAGTGCCAGCCTGTTCCATTGAGGGAAGTACACTTTGTGAGAACCAATGGAAAAGAGCCTGAGCCGCTGGAACCTATTCCCTATGGATTCATGGTATGATAGGGTAAAAATAGATAAATACAAGACCTCTGGATTGCTTAAAAAAAAAAAAAAAAAAGGGAGAGAGAGAGAATGAATTCAGCAGAGCCTTGAAGGATAAGAAGTTAGGCGTAGGAGAACCATTTTTCAATGTCTACTTCATTGTCTAGAAGTAGACAAACCTTGGGGCTGGTCACCAGGACTTCTAGCACTGGAAACAGGTAAAGCTGTCAGCCAGCATTCACACAACCCTGGCTCCACTCCCACTATCCTTGATCTGGAAACAGGTCTTAGGACCCTGGGAACTAAAGAAAAATGAGCAGGGAACTTCCACCCATGCTCTTAGAAAAGTTCTCCAGAAAACCATTTCAGGATCTACTTTTGTTATCTGAGATATTTTCCTGGACAGCTCTTTATGTCTCCCGTGGCACCTCCTTTATGAAACTTTTTCTTATCCTCCCTTGCGTTTGTGCCTCCCGTGTGTGTAGAACACATTCTTACCACTTACCTCTCTCAGAATCAGTTCATTCGGGTAGGAACAGGGCTGACTTCAAATCTAATCCCCAAACCTTACCGTGTTGCTGTAAGTGTGCACTGTGAGGCTGGAAAGTCACAAGGGCTGTAGAATGCAGTGGCTGTGGCACAGGATGGGGAGGGCTAGGTTGGCTGGGGAACGATCGGGCAGGGCTTGAATGCCAAGTTAAGGGAATCTGGTCAGTAGTTCCCAAATGAATTTCTGAATCTCTAGGGAAAAACAGTAAAATACACACTTCCCCAGCCTCACACAAGACCCGAAGGGCAGCCAGCGCCCGAGGCGATTCCGAGAATCAGACAAGTTTGGGAACCTGCTAAGCGCAAGCAAAACAAAAGGTTTCCACGCAAATGAGTGAGATGTATCAACTACGTTTTAAAATGCACTCCAGTCCGAGAGCAGACAGGAGGCCACTGCAATAATCCAGACGAGGGGCAGTGAGGCCTGAGAAATGGGAGATAATCGCCTTCATCTCGATTCTTGGCGCCCACCACGCTGTCCCGCTCGGTGGGCCTCCCTTAAGGCACGCAGCTGATCGGAACGCGCTTTCTTACCCGCCTCATGCGACCGTTTGACAGCAGGTCGGCGATCCCCTTGGCCGCGTCGTTTTTTTCGGCCACACAGAGGACTTTCCGCACGCCTCGGAGGGCCATCTCCATGGCGGCGCGGGAAAAGGCACGGTCTTCGGGCCGTCGCAGCCACCGGAGCGCGTAGCGGGCGACAGGAAAGATCATCCTCAGACCTCGCGCCCGGAGCCGCTCCCCGGCTGCCGGCGCATCCTGGGGAAGCCAGAGATGAGGCTCAAATGGCGCCCACCGAAAGGGAACCAGAGCCTCGCTTCGGTCACGTCCCCACCAGCCTGCTGGCCTTTGGAGCTTCAGTCACTGAGCCTTTCCCGTGCCGCAGCCGCCGCCTCAGCACCGAATCCAGTATCTTGGCGTGGAACTTCCGCCCGCCTTCTCCAGCTACTTCCGCCAGGCGCGCGCCCCACAGCGACCTGGAACTACAACTCCCAGACTGTCCCGCGCCCCTCGTCCAAGCACGTTCCCCTCTGCCACCTTCCCGCCGCCCCCGTCTCACTCCGCCCCTCTTTCCCCTCCTTCCCGGCAGTGGTTGGTTAATCGGACTCCTTCTTGCGGGGAGCCGCCAGACACTCCCATCCAAGGCCTCTTTCTCATGACTTTTTAATCTCCTGCTCGGAAGTCTACGAGGACGCTTCCGGGTCACGCGGCGCGGACACCAGGAGTCATGTGATGTCAAGATGGCGGCGCCGCGGTAGCAGGATCCGGGTTGTGGCGTCCTAGGAGCCGCGACGGTTTCTGCCCTCGGGCAGTGAGGGGCAGCAGCGCTTGGCTGACCCCTGCGGCGTCCCGTAGCCTCGCGTTAAGCCTTGTTCAGAGCGGGGGCTTTTGCTGTCGCAGTGGGTTCCGGAGAGTGCAGGTGATTTCGCAGCAGGTTTCTTGTGCTGGCCGCGCTCGCCGGACGAAGAAGAGAAGGGCAGTTGGGCCTGCGGCCTTGGCGTTCATGAGGCCTCAGAGAGCTCCGGAGGAGCTACAACTGTGAGGGGGCTGCTAGAGTTCTTCTCCTCGGGTGTGTGAGAAGCAGCCTAGGACCCCGGGTTCGGGGAGTCGCAAAGAAGGCCGTAAGGGCTTCACTTCCTTCTCCGGAGGCCTGCCTTCTGCGCGTCGATTAACACCGCATTCTTTCCCACTTCCTCTCAATGTTTTCTTCATATATCTGGAAATATGATCAGCGCCCCTGACGTAGTGGCCTTCACCAAAGAGGAAGAGTATGAAGAAGAGCCTTACAATGAGCCGGCCCTGCCTGAGGAGTACTCGGTGCCGCTCTTCCCCTTCGCCAGTCAGGGTGCTAACCCCTGGTCAAAACTGTCCGGGGCCAAGTTTTCGAGGGACTTCATTCTTATTTCCGAGTTCTCTGAGCAGGTGGGACCCCAACCCTTACTGACCATCCCCAATGACACCAAAGTTTTTGGCACTTTTGATCTCAATTACTTCTCCCTGCGTATCATGTCTGTGGATTACCAGGCTTCCTTCGTGGGCCATCCTCCTGGATCTGCCTACCCCAAGCTGAACTTCGTGGAGGACTCCAAGGTGGTGCTGGGAGATTCTAAGGAGGGCGCCTTTGCATACGTGCACCACCTTACCCTATACGACCTGGAGGCCCGTGGCTTCGTGAGGCCGTTTTGCATGGCTTATATCTCTGCAGACCAGCATAAAATCATGCAGCAGTTCCAGGAGCTTTCAGCCGAATTTTCCAGAGCTTCTGAGTGCTTGAAGACTGGCAACAGGAAGGCATTTGCTGGGGAACTTGAAAAAAAGCTGAAAGACTTGGATTACACCAGGACAGTGCTACACACAGAAACGGAGATCCAGAAGAAAGCCAACGACAAAGGCTTTTACTCATCTCAGGCAATTGAGAAAGCCAATGAACTGGCCAGTGTGGAGAAGTCCATCATTGAACATCAAGACCTGCTGAAGCAGATCCGCTCATACCCTCATCGGAAGTTGAAGGGGCATGATTTGTGTCCTGGTGAGATGGAGCACATCCAGGATCAGGCCAGCCAGGCATCCACTACCTCTAACCCTGATGAGTCTGCCGACACAGACCTTTACACCTGCAGACCAGCCTACACCCCAAAACTTATCAAAGCAAAGTCCACCAAGTGTTTTGACAAGAAGTTGAAGACCTTGGAGGAGCTCTGTGACACTGAATATTTCACCCAGACCCTGGCTCAGCTCAGCCACATTGAACACATGTTCAGAGGAGACCTGTGTTACCTCCTGACCAGTCAGATTGATAGAGCACTTCTAAAACAACAGCATATAACAAACTTTCTCTTTGAAGACTTTGTGGAGGTCGATGACAGGATGGTGGAGAAACAAGAAAGCATACCCTCTAAGCCCAGTCAAGACAGGCCGCCTTCCAGTTCTCTAGAAGAATGCCCAATTCCTAAAGTGTTAATTAGTGTTGGTTCTTACAAGTCCAGTGTGGAGTCTGTGTTGATCAAGATGGAGCAGGAACTGGGAGATGAGGAGTACAAGGAAGTGGAAGTGACTGAGTTGAGCAGTTTCGACCCCCAGGAAAACTTGGACTACCTGGATATGGATATGAAAGGGAGTATCAGCAGTGGTGAAAGTATTGAAGTTTTGGGCACGGAGAAATCCACCTCCGTGCTTTCTAAATCTGACAGCCAGGCAAGCCTCACAGTACCATTGAGCCCCCAGGTGGTCCGGAGCAAAGCAGTCAGCCACAGGACCATCAGCGAGGACAGTATTGAAGTCCTCAGTACCTGCCCCTCTGAGGCCCTCATCCCTGATGACTTTAAGGCCAGCTACCCAAGTGCCATTAATGAAGAAGAATCATATCCAGATGGCAATGAAGGAGCCATCCGCTTCCAGGCAAGCATCAGTCCTCCAGAACTGGGTGAGACAGAGGAAGGCAGCATAGAAAACACCCCATCACAAATAGACTCCTCCTGCTGTATTGGGAAGGAGAGCGATGGTCAGTTGGTGCTGCCCTCCACTCCAGCCCACACACACTCTGACGAGGATGGGGTGGTGAGCAGCCCCCCACAGCGCCACAGGCAGAAGGACCAGGGGTTCCGTGTAGACTTTTCAGTGGAAAATGCCAACCCTTCTTCCCGAGACAACAGTTGTGAAGGGTTTCCCGCTTATGAGCTGGACCCGAGCCACCTGCTGGCTAGCCGGGACATCAGTAAGACCAGCCTGGACAACTACTCAGACACCACCAGCTACGTGAGCAGTGTAGCGTCCACCAGCTCAGACAGGATCCCCTCTGCTTATCCTGCTGGCCTGTCTTCCGATAGGCATAAAAAGAGGGCTGGCCAGAACGCCTTAAAATTCATCCGCCAGTACCCCTTTGCCCACCCAGCCATCTACTCCCTGCTCAGTGGGAGGACACTTGTGGTCCTGGGGGAAGATGAGGCCATAGTCAGGAAACTCGTGACTGCACTGGCTATCTTTGTCCCCAGCTATGGCTGCTACGCTAAGCCCGTGAAACATTGGGCCTCCTCCCCTTTGCACATTATGGATTTTCAGAAGTGGAAGCTTATTGGCTTGCAGAGGTAACTGGTTCCAGGTGGTGGGGAAGGGCCTTGGCCAGATAGGGATGAGGTATATTGGTGTGGTGGAGCCAGAATCAGGAAGCCTGGCTTCTAGACAGGGCCCAGTTCCTACCACTGTGTTACTTTTGGCAAGTCATCCCCCTCTCTGGTTTCTATTTCCTTGTCTGTCATGTGAGGGGGTTGCAGTTCCTAGGTGGTTGCCAATCCCCATCTGTCCCCGAGCTGTGTCAGCATTATTAGGGAAAGTTTTTATTTTTATTTTTATTTTTTTGCAACGAAGTCTCGCTCTTGTACCCCAGGCTGGAGTGCAATGGCGCGATCTTGGCTCACTGCAATCTCCGCCTCCCGGGTTCAAGCAATTCTCTTGCCTCACTGTCCTGAGTAGCTGGGATTACAGGCGCCTGCCACCACACCCGGCTAACTTTTCTATTTTTAGTAGAGACAGGGTTTCACCATGTTGGCCAGGCTGGTCTGGAACTCCTGACCTTAGGTGGTCTGCCCACCTCAGCCTCCCAAAGTGCTGGGATTACAGGTGTGAGCCACCGTGCCTGGCCGGAAAGTTTTTAAAATCATGGATTCCTGAGTCACAAGCCCTCGAGGTTCTGATTCGGTTGGTGTGAGGTAAGACATGGAATTTATCTGTCGCCATTGCCAGCCCGACTGCAGGGAGCATCTCTCTATAAAAGCAAAAGGCCCATCAGAAGGGACAGATGACTCCGGGGGAAAGGGTTAGGCTGCTGTCCCTGTAAGTGCTCTTTCAACCTTCAGAGCACGTGCAGATGTTGGGTGCTGGGAGCATCTGCCTCCAGCATCCTACACAGGCATGAGGTGCAGCGGGCAGGTGTGGGGAGCCCTGCACCCTGGAGGGTCCCCTGCGGGGCCAAACGGGAATGGGATGGGCTACAGCTCACCCAAAGAATTCCTGGGGGAGGTGAGCAGTAGACGCCACCTGAGGGTATGATAAGATGAAACTGTTGTGGGCTGTGGCAGTTAGCGGGAGCAGTGGGTGGTCTGGGTCAAGTCCTGGTGTGCCACCACTCGCTGTCTGGATTCGGACCAACCATCTCATTCAGTCACCCAATCATGTTGAACACCTCTGAAGGGCTCCCGGGGCCCACCTGAGAGCCATCGGAAGGGTCCACGTTTAGTGCATGTCCAAAAAAACACAGCACAGTGCAGTGCTTGGCCCTGAGAAGCACTCAGAGGGTGGAACCGGCACCGACACAGGCAGGCAGACTGGGGCCTACCTGAGGCCCAGCTTTAAAAATCACGAGCAGGAGAGATGTCTTCGGTGGTTGTGACCTTCCTATCCTCGGAGGTGTTGCGCTGCAGAGGCTCTGCACTCTGAGCACCACGGCCCAGAAGTGTGCCTCCTCACTCAGGCCCACTGCTCACATGATGGACTCTCTTTCAGGACTCTCACCTCCGAACACCAGTCTTGCTGGCCCTTGATTTTTTTCACTCTGCCTGGAAATGCTTGTAGTTGGGTCAGCCATCTGTGGGGATAAGAGATGGCTAAACAACCAAGCTGGTATCCTGTCATTTGCGGGTTTTTTTGTTTTGTGTGTTTTTTGTTGTTGTTGTTGTTGGAGACAGAGTCTTGCTCTGTTGCCCAGGCTGGAGTGCAGTGATGTGATCTCAGCCCACTGCAGCCTCTGCTTCCTAGGCTCAGGTTATTCTCGTGCCTCAGCCTCTCCAGTAGCTGGGATTATAGGCGTGCGCCATCATGCCAGGCTAATTTTTGTATCTTTAGTAGAGACAGGGTTTCACCATGTTGGCCAGGCTGGTCTCAAATGATCGGCCCACCTCAGCCTTCCGAAGTACTGGGATTATAGGCGTGAGCCCGGCCCTGCTGTCATTTTAAGTGAACACCAGGGGTCATCCTATTGCTTACTAAGCAGCAGTCACAAGCCCAGACCGAAAAGCAGAGCACAGTTCTGCCTGGAGAAAGTGCTAGCCTAGCGTGTGTCAGAGGCCCTGGGTTGAGTCCTGGCTTGACCACTTGCTAGCTAGGTGACCTTGCACAAGCTGCCGCTTTACCCAGTCCTCTGTGTCCTCATTGGTGGAGAGGTGTCCTCCTGCGGCGGGCATGGTAAGTGCAATGTGAGGCTGCAGTTGGGGTGCCGTGCGCTTGGGGGCTGGAGAGCTGAGGCTTGTCCCTTCCCGTGTCATCTGGCCTCCTGAGGAGGAGCTTTATGGAAACAGAAGTGGAGGAACAGTTAGAATAGCCAGCTTCTTCCAAAAGAAGTGCCACCATTGGGGCAGGTGTCAGCTGCATCAGGGGATGCTGGGCCTGGGAACAGGTATCCCAGCAGAGACGGAGGGGCAAAAAGGTGGGAGGTGAGGCCTGGGTGCCCTGTGGCGGCAGCACCTGTGGAGCTGGATGTGCGGAGCTTGGGAGGTGTTTGACTCTGGCCAGCCCCACTTTAGGGAGGTGAGGGTGAAGGCGTTAGAGAGCTGAGAAGGTCCCGGAACACAGGGGCCATGCAGCATGGGTTGAGGAGAGCGTCTCACTGCCCTCATGAGCTTTCTTAGCTGTCAGCCACCTGCAGGCCCCAGTTCCTCCATGCCTGTGGGATGCATGTGGTCCATAGCCCAGTGCTGTCCCTATGGTCAGGATGCATGCAGTATGCATGGCCTGTCTCAGCTGTCCCATCTCTGTGACCTTGCTTTTGCCGTGGTCTGCCACACCCTCCTCAGTCCCTAGAGCCCACGCTGCTTCTGAGGGCCAGCTCTGAGGCAACTCCACGAATCCCCCAGGTCTTCCCAACTACAGCCTCTCCCAGGGAGAATGAGACCTTGTCTCCCTTCACTTCACTGTACTTGTGCACATTTCTTTTTTTCTCAATCAGACTGAGCTCATGCAGGACAAGAGTTCTAGGTCATTCTTCATTACAGTGTTAGCTCCCAGGTCAATGTTGGGATGTTATAGATGCTCTGTAAATGATTGTTAAATATACAAGAAGATAAAACCCAGGAAGGAAAAAGTACTGTGAGAGTACCTTGGTCCCAAGTCACCGTCAGTCCTTCTTACACCATACCTGTCTGACGTAAACCCTAAATGTCTGGGCCCTACAGGGCAGTCCCTGCTGCTCTGGGGAAGCTGCTTCAGGAGGGTGTTTAAGGAACCGCTCCCCTCACTGAGTGAACACTGGCTTTTCCTGGCTCTGATGTGCCAGGCATTGGGGGCATGAGACCAGATCAGGTGCAGTTCTGGGACCCTAGAATCTTGGAGCTGCTTGTCCAGTGGGGAGAAGCCAATGAACAAACAGCAGTCACCCCACTGGTCAGTGCTAGGCTAAAAGTAGTGATGGCGATGACAGCAGCGCCTACCGAGGGCCAGCATTGTCCTAAGCACAACTCATTTTGTCTCCACAGCGACCCCATGAGGGATGTAATAGTAGTAACTGGCCTGTACAGTGGCTCATGCCTGTAATCCCAAATCTTTGGGAGGCCAAGGCAGGAGGATCACTTGAGCTCAGCAGTTCAAGACCAGCCTGGGAAACATAGCAAACTTCCATCTCTACAAAAAATTATCTGGGTGTGGTGGCATACGCCTATAGTACCAAATACTTGGGAGGCCAAGGTGGGAGGATTCCTTGAGCCCAGGAGATGAAGGCTGCAGTGAGTCATGATCGTGCTACTGCACTCCAGCCTGCGCAACAGAGCAAGACCCTGTCTCTAAATAAATAAAAACAGTAGGAATGTTATCTCCATCTTATAGGTGAGGCTCAGAGAGGTTAATGAATTTGGCCAAGGTCACAGCAGGAAAGCAGGAGAGGATCAGGGAAGGCTGAATATGCTTTAAATTAAGCTAAGTACAAGAGAGAGAGGTTATTTCAGGCAGAAAGAAGAGGTTTTTTTGTTTGTTTTGTTTTTTAAGACAGAGTCTCGCTCTGTTGCCCAGGCTAGAGTGCAGTGGCACGATTTTGGCTCACTGCAAGCTCTGCCTCCTGGGTTCACAGCATTCTCCTGCCTCAGCCGCCCAAGTAGCTGGGACTACAGGCACCTGCCACCACACCCGGCTAATTTTTTGTATTTTTAGTAGAGACAGGGTTTCACCGTGTTAGCCAGGATGGTCTCGATCTCCTGACCTCACGATGCGCCTGCCTCGGCCTCCCAAAGTGCTGGGATTACAGGTGTGAGCCATTGCACCTGGCCTGAACAAAGAGGTTTGTAATTCTAAGGCCCCACTGAAAGCTTGCCATGGCTCCAAAAAAGAGTCCATTCAGCAGGAATCGGACCACAAAGGGCTTTGTGGGCCACCCAGCGTGTTTTTGACCTTGGTCATAAGAGTGGTGAGGAGCCCTTTGAAGATTACAATGATCAGATTTGTCTTCCAGGAAGAGCCAGTGCATGCTGGCTAGGTGGATGCTGGCCTGGGGACAGGAGGCCTCACCTCCCAAGCTTCTGCCTCCACTTTCCCGGCCCTTGCCCTTCCTCCTGACCTTGGCCTGTCTGTTTCAGAGTGGCCTCCCCTGCCGGTGCCGGTACCCTCCATGCCCTGAGCCGCTACAGCCGCTACACGAGCATCCTGGACCTTGACAACAAAACCCTGCGCTGCCCCCTTTACAGAGGCACCCTGGTGCCCCGCCTGGCAGACCACCGCACACAGATCAAGCGGGGCAGCACCTACTACCTGCATGTCCAGAGCATGCTCACCCAGCTCTGCTCCAAGGCCTTCCTCTACACCTTCTGCCACCACCTGCACCTGCCTACCCACGACAAGGAGACAGAGGAGCTGGTAGCCAGCCGCCAGATGAGCTTCCTAAAGCTGACCCTGGGTCTGGTGAATGAGGATGTTAGGGTGGTCCAGTACCTGGCTGAGCTGCTGAAGCTGCACTACATGCAGGAATCTCCAGGGACCAGCCACCCCATGCTCAGGTTTGACTATGTCCCCAGCTTTTTGTATAAAATCTGAGGTCGGTCCCAGACACTGTGACCAAGACCTGTGACTCAGGGTATGGGGAGGGGAGGGGTTGGCATGACCAAACAGTTGCCTGAGCTGGACTGTTTAAGTTTCTGGTGTCTGGCAGCATGGTTCCCACGTGGCTCCTAGTAGTTTTTAAGTTGGACATGGGCAGAAGTGGAGCCTGGCTCCCTCTAAAGGCGTCTGGAGGGATGGTGACAGCTACATTTGGCTCCCTGGTGAAGAGTGGCCCCTGGATATGGAGGGGGCCTTGGTTTTCTGAGGACTGGCAGCCAGGGCAGAAGGGAAGCCACCAGTCCCTTGGTGGGGCAGGGTGAGGGCAGGAAGGCCAAAGCCTGATGGGAGGAGCACACTGGCTGTATTCAGCATTGCCGGACACTTGAGTGGCAAAATGAACGAGGGTGACAGCCAGGTAACTGTTGTGGTTTGGTGGAAAACAGGAGGGCAGAACACCCATCGCCTCCTTCAGACCCAGATGCAGCCCTTTATTTGCTTCCTGGAGCCCACTGTCCTAGGGGAGGCCCTGGACCAGCCAGTGGGGGTGAGAAAGGCTGCCACCCTCTGGGTCGTGGGAAACATGCGACCTTGGCCTCAGGGCCACAGAGCGTGAGCAGCACCCTGTCCGCTGTCCTCGCCACCTTTACCTGGGAGAGAAGTGCCTGTGAGCGGGCCTTGGGACTCACTCCCCATACTCTTTCACCAGGAACGAGCAGAGTGTTCACTAGTCCTAGTGTGAAGCGGGCACAAGTGACCAAAGCCAATGGTGAGGACCACCTTGGGGGCTGGAGAGCACAGCAGGCAGAGCAGGGCTGAGGCGCCATGAGGCCATCACCACCATGCAAGGGAGGAGCAGCCAGCAGCTCTCCTGGGTGGCCCACTGGCTCCTGCCGGCCAGAGCGCATGAGCACTGACCTTCCTCGTGGGGAAGGTCTGCAGACCCGTGTGAACATGGCAGAGGCCACACTCCAGCTCCCACCCACATAAACCTTTGCAACCACTTCACTACCTCTCACTGGGTCTCGTGGGCTTGGGACAGCAACGGTTCTGTTTAGTCAGCTGGTGCAGGTGGTTGGCCCAGCCGATGAGAACTCAAATAGCACGGATTTCCTGGATGAGCTACCACGTGGCGCTCTTCAGGTTCTGCCTCTGGGAGGCTGTGTGCACCTCAGTCACCACAGCTCACGGCCGTCCCCAGTTGAGTCCCCCTTCTGAGGACAAGTTTGAAACTGGGAAGGAGACACCCCCTGGTTCCGCCAGCACCTATCCCACTGATAGTGATCCCCTGGCCTCCCCGAGCCTCCTTAGGCAATGGCCACTGGTTTGTAGACAGAGAGTTTCTTGCAGCCTTGAAAATTTTATTCCCTAAGTGGGGACAGCTCTGGTATTACTGCTTCTTTAATTTGTTCCACAAAAATTATGCTGAAATGGACCTGAATCAGCCCTGGGTGTGCTTCTGTTGGCGCCTGCTGCTGAGGCCCGGCCTGCCCATCGGCCTGTAGTACGCCATCGAGGTCATCATGGAGCCAGCCAGCTTCTCTTCTCATCAAGGAGGCAGAGACCCCTGGTGGAAGCCAAGAGTGACCGAAGAGGGCTTGCATCACGTCACTCCAGTGGTTCCCTCCTTGTCCAAGTCCTCGTTTTAAGGGCATGGCCCGTTGGCTCCAGCCGTTGGCTTCTGTTCAGGGTCCTTGCTCCCATCAGAGGTGTTTGATTTTGCTCCTGGGGCTGCGATGGAGAACCTTTTGTGGCAGATGGTGCTGCCTACATCTCATTGGTTCTCTGTACCTGTGCCCGTTGCGCATGTTCACAGACAGGAGAGTCGCCAGCAATACCTTGGCAGCCTTTAAATGTGAAACGTCTGTTACTTGCGCTGGAGGCAGAGGCTGTGCAGGGAGCCTGCTTCTAATCGTGGGCTCCCTTATCTGTTACGGTTCCCTCCCCTCCTGTTCTAGATGCTGATTCGTTTTCTCACTGGCTGGTTAATTGCTGTCTACTTAGGCCTCCAAGGCCATAACTGTGCAACATTTTATCTGAGAAGGAAGGAAGGTCAGAAAGTGATCACTGGCACCACCACTGTGGCATTCCTGTCACACCAACACAGAAATTCACAGCTCATACTGTTCTCACCTGGGAAACTTGGGAAGGGCTGATGAGTTTGGGGCAGATCCTGAATTGCAGCCACACTTGGCCTTCTAGAAGCTGAAGTTGTGCCCTCAAGTGGTCCTAAGTAGAAGTCCACTTGAGGTATTTGCTGGCACACACCCTCAAGGGTGGTTCAGAAGGTCCTGAAACCTAAGGCAAAAGGCTGCTGGGGCATGAACAGAACAGACCGTCTCAGGGGCAGCCATGTAAGTGGCAAGCAGGGCTGGTCTCCCTCAAGGTGGTTCTTCATTAAGTAAAGATGGCTTCGTGACTAGTGTTTAGCTCCCAGATTTATATTTGGGTTAAAAACTAACTTTTCAATGTGGCAGTTTCAAAGGATTACTTGATGCAAAGTATGTTTCCTTTCAAAGGGATCTTGACGTGGTACCAGGACTGAGTCATGATTTGGGCAGAGGCAGTTAACACTGGGAAGCCCTGCCCCTCCCTATGCCCCCTTCACTCCGGGGAACTGAAACCTACTCTGAGTCTCACATCTCTAAACCTCAGTGCTGAGACCTATGCAGTGGGACTAATCTCATCAAGAATTTTCAGTTGAGGCCGGGCGCAGTGGCTCACGCCTGTAATCCCAACACTTTGGGAGGCCGAGGTGGGCGGATCACCTGAGGTCAGGAGTTGGAGACCAGCCTGGCCAACATGGTGAAACCCCATCTCTACTAAAAATACAAAGAAAGTTAGCCAGGTCTGGTGGTGCGTGCCTGTAATCCCACTTACTCGGGAGGCTGAGGCAGGAGAATCACTTGAACCCAGGAGGCAGAGGTTACAGTGAGCCGAGATCGCGCCACTGCACTCCACCCTGGGCAACAAGAGCGAAAACTGTCTCAAAAAAAAAAAATTTTTCATTTGAGGTATTCTTCCAGTAGAAGGTTAGTAAGTTTTTAATGAAACCATTAAAAATTACACTTCCCAGAAAATAGATGACATCAGTGCCCCTTGCTACTTTCTCAGTCCTCACTATTGCTTTGAGGGCCCAGGTACTGAAACTGGTTGTCTTGAGTTTTGTGTCAGCTTTTTCTCCAGTCCATTATCCCCCTCCCTTGCTTCTGAAGCAGTCTAGGTTAAACTAGCCAGGCAGGTAGTTGTGGACTGGTGATTTTCAAAAGCCCCACTTTAGAGATCAGGCCACAGCTTTTTATATCGCACAGGACACATCAGCCTGAGCTGCTGCCTCATGCCTGTTTCCCCAGGAACCTCACTCCTTTGGTAGAACCTTGGGATTTTAGAAATTGTGGCTTTTCCATAACTCATTTACTCCAACAGTTGAAGTTACACACATTGCTCCCAAATTTGGAAATAGACCACAGTACCTTACCTTTCATTCCCCATCTGGCCTTTACCTTCTTTGCTTCAGTGGTTGAAAACAGTTGCCATATTCAAAGTATAGTAGATTTCAACCTCACACAAATGACAAGTCCCATTTTACAATCCTAGGAAGGCCCACCAATTTCATTTCACGCGCCAGGGCGGCTGCAGTTGGAGGCCGAGGGCAGCCCTCTGCTCACTGAATGTCTTGCATGTGCTGACTGCTGCCCGCAGTGCTGAACATGCCCCACCGCCCAGGCCCAGCACTGCTTGTTGGGTCAGCATCTAGTGCTGCTGTCACATCTTTGTCTGCACAGCCAGTAGGATTGCCTCAGCCAGGGGGTTTATCAGAAGGTGTGCAAGGCCTTTGGGGGAACTGAGCCCCTATAGTGGGCAGTCTCCTTTACCTTCCCACCTCCCTGAAAAGCACAGAAGACAGTGCCTTGGTTTGTGTTTTGAAGCAAACAAGTCAGCTTTCTGGCTTTGCCCCAAAACTGTGATGGAACATAATAAAACTGGAGATATGGTTTTTAACACTGCAAAAAGGAAAAAGCATCAAGTTTCTACTTCTGGCTGGAAAGCAAAACCAATCTCAGCTGACAAGGCTGGGCAAACTAAGTTTTCCTGAGCCCATTTTCCTTTGAGCCCTGACCTAGCCTGGCCTTACCTCATTAAGGTTTGGTTAAAGCAGTGGAAAGGAGGAGGAGGCAGGGGTGGATGGGGGTGTGGGGAGGGGATGAGCACTCTGCAGCCGATTAATCTGTTGGTAGGGGCCCAGCTTCTTGGGAGTGCTTATTCAGCCCAAGAGTGGAGGCTGTTTACAGCGAGCCCTGGAGATGGCAGCTTGTCTCCAGCTGGGGAGGGGTCAGGCCCCTAAATTGAAGACCACTTTGGTAGCAGAACTGTAGGGACTGGTGAGTCAACTCACAGATTCTGCAGCAGCTGCTCCACCCACAATAAAGCAAACGCCGACAGGCTAGACCCCAGATTGCAGGGGCTGCCACCTACAAGGTGGGACCACAGGCTGCCTCACCGGGATTGTCTGCCACTAAATAGCTGGAGTCACAGATTGAGATAAATGCCACCTTCAAGGTTGCAGTGAAAAGCATAATCCTATGTGATGAATTTATATGTGTTATTTTTTAAAAAGCTATTTTATTACTGCATGTTCCCGTCCCGTCTTGTGAATGTGAGTCCCCGCCACCACGTGAGGTGCAGTCGTTGCAGCGGCTGGTGCAGGAGTGCAGCTGGCGCGTGTGTGATAGCATCTCGTAGGTGTTGCTGCACAAGAGTTAACCAGAGTCAATGCCAAACACATAGTATGAGAAGTGTACTTTTTAAGAAATTAATTTATTTGAGTTCAAATATTTTTGAAATATAAAAATTGGTTGTATTTTTTAAAGCTATAATTCTTGTAGACATTCTGTGGTTAAAAATTTGATTGTGCTTATTAAAAATGGTCATCTATGTTTTGCACTTCAGCTACGTGAAAATAAAATTTCTTTGGGAAGGTGACATTTGGCTTCCTGATTACGGGAGGGAGTTGGTTATCTCAGGTGGAGCAGGAAAGCCTGGTTGATTCTCACACCAGGATGGGACTGGGACTTCCCAGGATGGAGGGAGGAGGCCATTTCTACACCATACTTTGAGCTACTGACAGCAAAACCCTCCCACCATACTGGGTGCATCTTGTTTACTCTTGACTAACATACACTTCTGATTTACAGCAGAAGCCTCAGAAGCTAATTCAGTTCTCCTTTGGCATGCCACTGGATAACAAGATAGTGAGGGGGCAGTGTGTACAAGCTGTGGACATGGGCATTTCCTCTCTGTTGCAGCAAGGCGGAGGAAAGCCCAGGGAGAGTAAAACGCTACAATCTTTCTAACAGCTTTGCCCTACACCACCATCTAAATGATTATGACCAAGTGGCGACATAGTATTTTATTTTCCTAGAATTATGTCCAGCTGTGAGAAAGCCAGGTTCAAATTTAAATCCTTTAATAACCTGTCCCAGAATTACTAACAATGAGACTTAAACAAATTTTGATTTGTGAAGAAAACATGAAAAAAGTCCAAAAGAAACCCCCTCAAAGGGCCCGAGTGTCAACAGTTCCCCTTTGGAGCAGCTCATCCATCTCTCAGGTGGGGGTCCTCCGGCAGGCAGCTTCCTCTGTGGCGCCAGGTGGGTCCAGAGTGGGCCCGCTCCTTTAGAAGTCAGGCAGGCCAGGCAGAGGGAAGAGAGAGGCGAAGCTCTCAACCTCCTCCCGGAGAGCCTGCACGGCCGCCTGGTACTTATCCCCTGCCAGTCTCTCCTTGAACTCTTTCAGGGTGGCTCTGACACCAGTGTCGCTCTGGATCTGCAGGGTCAGCTCTATCCCTGTGCCACAAGACACAAATGAGTCACCCCACACTACACACCAAAGGGGGTACAATGGCTGGGGGCCGAGGCACAAATGTCAGAATGTCCCCCAGCTGGGGAGTGTGGCAGGGCACAAGGTCTCCATGCTTACCTCAATTACTCTGAGATGCACCCACCCTTGGACAGATGTCCTGGGCAGCCCAAATTTATAACCCTCTCAGACAAGGTGATTTACATGTGTTTTTTGCTGTCTCCCACCCCAACACTCAGCCTTGGTGCAGAATTGTCTTTCAGTGGCAGGGTCTCAGCTACTCATCACAATCAGAAACTAAATACACACAATAAGATGTGGCAACTTCCAAACTTTTATCCTTACCTCTGTGAATAAAGTGGGCTACTTTTTGGAAGTCTTTTTCCAAAAGTCCACGGGACGTCAGTGCTGGGGTCCCCAGCCGCAGTCCACTGGGCCGCAGAGCGCTTCTGTCACCTACAAGATAAACGGGGCTCTGTCCCTAAGTCACATTGTCACCACTGTGATGGTGGTGCATTTAAAAAGGGACATGTGGGCAAAAGAGAACTGGCCTGAGGATACTGGCTGTCCCTAGCAAGGAGTACAACTGATTCAGAAACTAAAGTAGAACCCAAGGCACAAGGAGGCACAACCACGTTTGGCCACTCTGACTTAATTACTAGTACACAAAGTGGTCTGATGTGCCCCTTGCTCCTAAAAATGAGGGTAACATCTGTCTGGGTCTGAGATGCGTCATCAATATTTTGTTAACAACCCACAGAGAAATGCAGCCTCTGGATTCCGGAGGCCCTGACCTCCCTCATCTGATGAATGTACCACCTCCAACAGCTCTACATCAGTCTTTTTGCTCCCTGGCAGGGTCAGGGCCAAGTACAAAGGCACAGCCAAGAGACAGCCAAGGTATGGTCCCTGCCCCCGCTCCATTTTTTGTTTTTGTTTTTGTTTTTTTGAGACGGAGTCTCACTGTCGCCTAAGCTGGAGTGCAGTGGCGCAGTCTCGGCTCAATGCAGCCTCTGCCTCCTGGGTTCAAGCAATTCTTCTGCCTCAGCCTCCTGAGTAGCTGGGACCGTGGTGTGTGCCACCACAGCATTTTTAGTAGAGACAGGGTTTCACCGCGTTAGCCTTCTCAATCTCCTGACCTCGTGATCCACCCACCTCGGCCTCCCAAAGTGCTGGGATTACAGGTGTGAACCACTGCACCTGGCCCAGTTTTTTTTTTTTTAGACAGAGTCTCATTCTGTTGCTAAGGCTGGAGTGCAGTGGTACAATCTCCACTCACTGCAACCTCTGCCTCCCGGGTTCAAGCGACTCTTCTGCCTCAGCCTTCCAAGTAGCTGGGATTACGGGCATGCACCACCATGCCCAGCTAATTCTTCTATTTTTAGTAGAGACAGGATTTCACCATTTTGGCCAGGCTGGTCTCGAATTCCTGACCTCAAGTGATCCGCCTGCCTCGGCCTCCCAAAGTGCCGGGATTACAGGCGTGAGCCACCGTGCCCAGCCCCCACTACAGTTTTTATGTGAGGTCTGTCCCCGGAGCCAATATATTCATCAGCTACAACTTTGGCCAGAAGAAATGCAGATGGGAGAGGAGTGAAGGAGAAGGCAAGGATGATTCTCACCTGGACAGGTGTTCTTGTTGCAGGCAATAGAACAGGCTTCTAGCACCTTCTCAGCCCTTCCACCATCTGTGCCTTTGGAACGGAGATCCACAAGGATCAAATGGTTGTCAGAACCACCTGGAAACAAAGTTGGACATGTAGAAATGCAGGCGAATTCTATGCCGTGAAGGAATCTCTGAGAAACGAAGGCGAGGATGAAGGCAGTCAAAGCAGATGAGGTCAGGAAGGTGAGCACCCCCACCACATGGCCTGGGATTCTAATCCCCACGAGAGATGCCCGTGCCTAAGAATGTGAAAGGAAGGACAGAGCACTTTTGAAAGGGGTAACTGATCATACAGCAGAGGGCCTGACACTCCCATGGGGAAGGGACAGCTTCCTCAGGCTGCTCCTGGCTTGTTTTCTCTGACAAGTTGCTTGGGCAATTCCCTAACATTGATGGTAAAGGCTCCCCTGAAGGCAGCATGAATATTGGGCAGCAGTTCAATTTACTTTGGGGGGTAAGGGGCATGTTCACAGAGCACATTAGGTGCCAGACACTGTAGCCTGTGGTAGGTTTTTCCCGGATCCTGTGAGGCTGATGGTATTATCAAAGTGGTAAGGTGACAACAGCAAGGCTAACAGAGTTTTCTGGACCTGGCCCGAGGTCATACAGGAGGATCCTTCCACTTTGAACCTTCATTAAGCTGGGGTAGTGCCTTGGGTGCTGACAGCACTGGGGCCTCTGCTTCTGAGCTGTGTTGCGGGGATCCCTTTCAAGATGCGGGTGAGCTAGGGCTCCAGCTTGGCTTTGCAGCCCCCCAGCTGTGCCCACCCACTTGCCGTGTGGCTTTAGGCAGGCAGCTCAACATTGTGAAACCTCAGATGCCCATTTGTAACAAAAAGACCAATAATTCACAGGGCTGTCATGAAGTTTAAGTAAGATACTGGACATAGTGCTTCTCATAGCACCAGGCACCAAAGAGGGCATTTGCAAGCATTATCTGTCTCAGCCATGTGCATCGGGTCCTCAGATGGCAGAGTGACAATGACACAGTCACCAGGGAGAGGGCAGGCCCATGCCATGAGATGCCCATGGTGACAGGGACTATGGCCTAAACCCTCACAACTCCAAGGGTGGCTCCCAGACCAGCATCACCCAAGGCCTGGTCAGAATCTGCATTGCACCAACAGCCCCAGGGGTGGTGTGCACATTGAAGTTTAAGAAACAGGGACCTAAAGCAGTGGTCCCCAACCTTTTTGGCACCAGGAACTGGTTATGTGGAAGACAGTTTTTTCACGGATGGCATCGGGGGATGGTTTTGGGATGAAACTTCCACCTCAGATCATCGGGCATTAGATTCTCATAAGGATGCAGGTATAATCAGAAGGAAAAAAAAGATAGTTTCTTGAAAGTGTCTAGGCCCAACCTAGATCCCTCACATGTGCAGTTCAAACCAGCGTTCAGCTCCTCTGAGAATCTAATGCTGCCACTGATCTGACAGGAGGCGGAGCTCAGGTGGCAATGCTCTCGGCCCAGCTCACTTCCTGCTGTGCGGCCAGGTTCCTAACAGACCACAAACCAGTACTAGTCCGTGGCCCGGAGGTTGGGGACTCCTGAGCTAAAGCACCCTGAAGTTCACAGTCTGCACGAGGACTTCTTGAGCTTTATTATTTGAAGACATGGAGGATGAAGGGAGAACAGAAAGTAAGTGAAGTAGAACATAAAAGAGGGTACGGCTGGTACTGCTGAGGAGACAGCACTGGCCCGGCCTTCCCAGGCACTGCCGCACATGCAGGATTGGGTGGGAGCCCCACTCCTTAGACCAGGAGGCCTGTAATCCCTCCCCAATCCTTAGATCAGAGGGCCTGTAATCCCTGTAAAGGGCAAAGGACACGGTGCAGAGAGTGGGCACTCAGGTCTACACACAGCAGGACCCATATTCCTGGACCACACCACTGCTAGCACAATCGGCAGTCTTGTGGGACTAGGTATAAAGTCGCCCTTCCTCCGGAGGACTGAGTATGCTGCCTGCCAAAAAAATGCGTTCTCCGTGGAAAGCTGCAGTGACTGTGAGGTGGATGGCACCCCAGAGTGGGGCCCTGACCTGGGAAGTCCATCTCATTCACAGCCCATCAGCTCCAGAATGTACAGATCCAAGCAAACATGCCTAAAGCAAGCCAACTCCCCAGGAATATGCAGGAAACTGGGAGGGGAGAGCCCCTGCACCCCCAGCTCAGCGGGGTGAGAGAAGACACTCCCCTGGCACAGTGCAAGGCATCACCACACAGTCCTGGTGCCACCTACCAGGTGTGTGACCACTACAGCCCAACCTCTCAGTTGAGCCTCAGGTCATCCTCCTGCAAAGCTGTTCTGAGGACAAGCAGTCCTTATGCTGGTGACCAATGGCAACCACTATTCCCATCATCTGTGGCTCACCCAAGGGGGCGGCTGGCTGGTCTGAGGCAGGGGGAGGCTTTCCAGTTGGAGGCGAGGCTGACCTCCTCCCAAGGTGGGCCCATCATTGCAGCTGCAGCAGCAGAGCCTGGGCCACATCCTGGTTGCACAAACTGAGAAGCAAGCCTTAATACAACCACAAGAACAGGCCTGCTGAACACCATCTGTGTCTCTACCTGTGACTATTTTGTAGCCCAGCTCCGTCAGGGCCTCAGACAGAGCCCTGCAGTTGGCCACCACCTGGTGTTGATAAACTTTAAATTCCAGAGTCATAGCTTGCTTCAGTGCCACAGCAACCCCTGGACAAGAAGAGACAATGGGTCAGGAGGCTAGGATAGAATCATACACAGATGATGAGTCAAACAACATTCCTGTTTTTACTCAAGCTTCCTTGCTTTTCAATGTCACCCCTTGCTTTTGCGTTGGATTATCTTTTCCTCCAAAATGATATATTTTTAAAAATTTTTTATTATTTATTATTTTTATTTTTTTTGAGATGGAGTTTCACTCTTGTTGCCCAGGCTGGAGTGCAGTGGTGTGATCTCGGTTCACTGCAACCTCTGCCTCCCAGGTTCAAGTGATTCTTCTGCTTCGGCATCCCGAACAGCTGGGACTACAGGCACATGCCACCATGTCCAGCTAATTTTTGTTGGTATTTTTAGTAGAGACAGGGTTTCACTATATTGGCCAGGCTGGTCTTGAACTCCTGACCTCAAGTGATCCGCCTGCCTTGGCCTCCCCAAGTGCTGGGATTACAGGCATGAGCACCATGCCCAGCTAAAAAAATTTTTTATTTTTATATTTTTTGAGACAGGGTCTCACTCCCATTGCCCAGGCTGGAGTACAGTGGCGTGATCACAGTTCACTGCAGCCTTGATGTTCAGGGCTCAGATGATCCTCCCATCTCAGTCTCCCGAGTAGGTGGGACTACAGGTGCATCCTACCACACCTGGCTAATTTTTTTTGAGAGATGGAGTCTCGCTCTGTCGCTGAGGCTGGAGTGCAGTGGTGCAATCTCGGCTCACTGCAACCTCCGCCTCCCGGGTTCAAGCAATTCTCCTGCCTCAGCTTCCCAAGTAGCTGGGACTACAGGCACGTGCCACCACATCCAGCTAATTTTTGTATTTTTTAGTAGAGACAGGGTTTCACTGTATGTTGGCCAGGCTGTTCTGGAACTCCTGACCTCAAGTGATCTGTCCATCTCGGCCTCCCAAAGTGCTGGGACTACAGGCGTGAGCCACTGCGCCTGGCCACGCCTGGCTAATTTTTTATGTTTTTGGTAAGAGACGGGCTTTCTTCATGTTGGCCAGGCTGGTCTCAAACTCCTGGGCTCAAGTGACCCACCCACCTCAGCCTCCCAAAGTGCTGGGATTATAGGCATGAGCCACCGCGCCCAGCTGATATGCTTCTCTCTGAGGAACTGCTGTTGAGGTAACCTTTCCCTAAGCATGGAAGTTCTGTGCTAACATTACCATACCAAAGCTGTTAAGCAAGATGGATTTTACATCCTTTTTAATCTTGATGTGTGAAAACGATTACTTAGCAGGCCTAAGAGCCGATGCTCTGATGCCAGATTATGCAGCTCTCTAAGGTCAGAGCGCAGGTAGGAGGTGCAGCCTTCGTCCTACCCTGCACCATTCAGACTTATCTGGTATCTCACATTCAATCCTGAGGGCTGCTTCAAGGGACACAGAGAATGGAGGATAAGGAGAACCCACGGGCCTGCATCCCGCACAGAGCCTCCAATCAATACTTGTGAAAACAACTGGAAAGGGCGTCCAGAGCAGCTGGGGATGGGGTGATCCCTGCATCCCAGAGTTAAAGCAGCTGTGGGTGCCAAGTGTGTAGGTGTGATGGGAGAACATGAGAACACACCCGGGACCCCAGCTCCTTCCACCCCTTATGCCTAATATCTCCCAATCGCTGCTGTCCCCAGGTTCCTCTCTAGAAGTGCTTGTGCGTCTCCTGAGAAGCTACACCTTCATCCTGAGCCCCTTAGCGGGAATGAGTGCTACCAATGTCCTTGTTCCATGAAGGCAGCGGGATAACTCTTGAGTCATCACAAATGTCCTAAGCTACTTGTACAAAGAGACAAAGAGCAAGTCAATGAGAACCTGCTGGGCAGGCATGGAATCTGACTCAGGAGTCACTGGCGTGGCACTGGTGCAGGGTGTGAGGATCAGACACAGGGTCCTCCACTGCCACAGGCCAGGCCCATCAAGGGCAAGGGGACTCATCCTGCAGGGTCTGGACCCCAATCTCTCTCACCTGTGCTTTGCCCTCTCCTAACTGTCAGATTCCTTCCCTAAGAGGGTGCCATGTACTTTACAAAACTCGGCCTGACCCACAGGTTTGCCTCTGGGTGGCCGTACACGTGGAGTGGATGCCATTCCCTACTGTCCCTACCTTAGGCCAGTCTCAACCATGCCCTACTCTGTGTTAGCATCTCCTGCACAGAGACAGCCCTCCAGCTTTTTCCCCAGCGTGGAAGTCCTGGCACACGATTTTGGAGGACAGGTGGGATGGGAATTAGGGGCTACAGGATGAGCAGAGGCAGATGATGTTTTACCAGCAATGGCGTGGTTGTGGGGACCTCCCTGCAGGCCAGGGAACACAGCAGAATTGATAAGAGACTCCAGGTTGTACAGAATCTCTTTGCCAGTCTTGGGATCCACACTTTTCACTCCTGGAGGAAGAAAAACATCACAGTGGGATCATAGGGGCTGTCCCCTCTTTTTCTTTTTAGGCTCAAACCCAGACTGGCCAGGGAAGAATCAAGCACAAGCCTGGCCTTTATCCTGGCATGGAGAACTGATTTGTAACACAGCGGAGCAGAGGGGACCCTTGCCTCCTGAGGGCAGACCAGTATCTTTATTTTTTGGAAACCAACACATCATGGATGACTCTGGCTGGAATACTGGTTTCAGCACCTCACCTGTCCACCTGCCTCCTCTGATGGCATCTCTTCTTAACACAACTAGAACAAGGCCTTAAAAATGAAAGGACAGGCTGGACGCGGTGGCTCACACCTGTAATCCCAGCACTTTGGGAGGCCAAGGCGGGCGGATCACGAGGTCAGGAGTTTGGGACTAGTCTGGCCAACATGGTGAAACCCCGTCTCTACTAAAAATACAAAAATTAGCCGGGCGTGGTGGTGTGCACCTGTAGTCCCAGCTACTTGGGAGGCTGAGGCAGAAGAATCGCTTGAACCCGGGAGGCAGAGGTTGCAGTGAGCCAAGATCGCGCCAGTGCACTCCAGCCTGGGTGACAGAGTGACATTCTGTCTCAAAAAGAAAAAAAGAAAAAAAAAGGACAGAAATTTCCCTCCACTAACATTGTAACCAAGAATTCAAGAATTTGCCCTGGACATCTTTCCTTAAAGAAATGTCCATGTGGCTGGGCGTGGTGGTTCATGCGTGTAATCCCAGCACTTTGGGAGGCTGAGGCAGGTGGATCAATTAAGGTCAGGAGTTCAAGACCAGCTGGGTCAACATAGTGAAACCCTGTCTCTACTAATAATACAAAAATTAGCTGGGCATGGTGGCGGGCATCTGTAATTCCAGCTACTCAGGAGGCTGAAGCAGGAGAATGCGTTGAACCCGGGAGGTGGAGGTTGTAGCGAGCCGAGATTGCACCACTGCACTCCAGCCTGGGCGACAAGAGCAAAACTCCATCTCCGGGGAAAAAAAAAGTCCATGTAATCCCAGCACTTTGGGAGGCAGAGGTGGGAGGATCACTTGAACCCAGGAGTTCAAGACCAGCATGAGCAACAAAGAGAGAACCCATGTCCACAGAAAAATTTAAAAATTAGCCAGGCATGGTGGCGCATACCTGTGGTCCCAGCTACGTGGGAGGGTGAGGTAGGAGGATTGCTTGGGCCCGGGAAGTTGAAGTTGCAGTGAGCTTTGATTGCACCACTGCACTGCAGCCTGAGTGACAGAGTGAGACCCTGTCCCCAAAAATAAAATTTAAAGAGTCTCCAAGATGCATTGAAAGAGACAACGCTCATGTGGCTAATATGAAGAATAAGGTTCCTTTCTGAGAAAAAGTTAACCATCAATAATAGCTACTATTCAGTCATAATCGGTAACATCTATCTAGAGCTTCTAGTGAGCCAAGAACTGCTCTAATCACTTTACATAAATTCATTTAATCCTCAAAACAGCAGTCCAAAGGGACAGGTACTATTATTATAGTCCCCACTCTAGAGGTGAGGAAATGAGGAACAGAGAGGCTGCACAGCTAGCCCTAAAGTCATACAGCGGGTGTGCGGCAGAGCTAGTACTTGCTCTGATAGGCTGGCTCCGGAGTCCCTCAGCACTGGGTGAAATAAATCACATCAACACACAGTGGGGGAAAAAACCAAATGTCTCCTGGGCGGGTGGGAATGGCTACCTGCCTCAGAAACATCAGCACAGCTAAAAACGGTCCTTGGAGGAGCACAGAGGCAACGGGGTGCTGAGAAGCTGAGGGGGCATGTGGCTGTGTCTAGTCCCAGCCAGGGGCTGGGCAAGAAGACCCTGCCTCGGGTAAGAGTAATGTAGTCGAACAGCCCTCTCCCTCTCCCTCCCCCTCCCCCTCCCTCTCCCCACGGTCTCCCTCTCCCTTTCCACGGTCTCCCTCTGATGCCGAGCCGAAGCTGGACTGTACTGCCGCCATCTCGGCTCACTGCAACCTCCCTGCCTGATTCTCCTGCCTCAGCCTGCCGAGTGCCTGGGATTGCAGGCACGTGCCGCCACGCCTGACTGGTTTTCGTATTTTTTTGGTGGAGACGGGGTTTTGCTGTGTTGGCCGGGCTGGTCTCCAGCTCCTAACCGCGAGTCATCTGCCAGCCTCGGCCTCCCGAGGTGCCGGGATTGCAGACGGAGTCTCGTTCACTCAGTGCTCAATGTTGCCCAGGCTGGAGTGCAGTGGTGTGATCTCGGCTCGCTACAACCTCCACCTCCCAGCCGCCTGCCTTGGCCTCCCAAAGTGCCGAGATTGCAGCCTCTGCCTGGCCGCCACCCCGTCTGGGAAGTGAGGAGCGTCTCTGCCTGGCCGCTCATCATCTGGGATGTGAGGAGCCCCTCTGCCTGGCTGCCCAGTCTGGGAAGTGAGGAGCGCCTCTTCCCGGCCGCCATCCCGTCTAGGAAGTGAGGAGCGTCTCTGCCCGGCCGCCCATCATCTGAGATGTGGGGAGCGCCTCTGCCCCGCCGCCCCGTCTGGGATGTGAGGAGCACCTCTGCCCGGCTGCAACCCCGTCTGGGAGGTGAGGAGGGTCTCTGCCCGGCTGCCCCATCTGAGAAGTGAGGAGCCCCTCCGCCTGGCAGTCGCCCCGTCTGGGAAGTGAGGAGCATCTCTGCCCGGCAGCTGCCCTGTCCGGCAGGTTGGGGGCAGCCCCCGCCCAGCCAGCCGCCCCGTCCGGGAGGGAGGTGGGGGGCAGCCCCCGCCTGGCCGTCACCCCTTCCAGGAGGTGGGGGGGCGCCTCTGCCCGGCCGCCCCTTCTGGGAAGTGAGGAGCCCCTCTGCCCGGCCGCCCCTTCTGGGAAGTGAGGAGCCCCTCTGCCCAGCCGCCACCCCGTCTGGGAGGTGTACCCAACAGCTCATTGAGAACAGGCCATGATGACGATGGCGGTTTTGTCGAATAGAAAAGGGGGAAATGTGGGGAAAAGATAGAGAAATCAGATTGTTGCTGTGTCTGTGTAGAAAGAAGTAGACATAGGAGATTCCATTTTGTTCTGTACTAAGAAAAATTCTTCTGTTAATCTATAACCTTACCCCCAACCCCGTGCTCTCTGAAACATGTGCTGTGTCCACTCAGGGTTAAATGGATTAAGGGTGGTGCAAGATGTGCTTTGTTAAACAGATGCTTGAAGGCGGCATGCTCATTAAGAGTCATCACCACTCCCTAATCTCAAGTACCCAGGGACACAAACACTGCGGAAAGCCGCAGGGTCCTCTGCCTAGGAAAACCAGAGACCCTTGTTCACTTGTTTATCTGCTGACCTTCCCTCCACTATTGTCCTATGACCCTGCCAAATCCCCCTCCACGAGAAACACCCAAGAATGATCAATAAATACTAAAAAAAAAAAAAAAAAAAAAAAAAAAAAAGAGTAATGTAGTCACCAGAGGGCTGGTGTCTCTGCTGATGCAAAGTTGGCGCATCAGGTCTCACCACAGGCTAAATGATGACCTGACCACTAACAGGCTTTCCCAGGTATGGGAATTCGAAAATAAGGGGAGTGCCTAGGGGTAGGTTATGAGGTAATGGAAAGAAAAACCTTCACTAAAATGATATTAATGTTTATACATCCATGTCTTCTAGTTTGACTACTATGAGTCTTTCTCTTTGAGAAACATGATGGATCACTGTAAGTTCACCAGAATAATGCAGCCTTGTGAGGCCTCCCAGTGGCCCCCAGCCAGCCATGCACCCTCCTTTCATTCAAACACCTGCCTCTCGAGTTCAGCAACCGGCGCCATCCTAACACATAGTGGTTGCTGATCCCCCTCCTATGTTCCTAGGACCTGGATGCACAAAAGTGAAGCAGGAGCTGTGGCTGACAGTCTCCTTCTGGGGATTCCTTTCTTTCTTTCTTTTTTTTTTTTTGAGACGGCATCTCGCTCTGTCGCCCAGGCTGGAGTACAGTGGCACAATCTCAGCTCACTGCAAGCTCCACCTCCCAGGCTCACGCCATTCTCCTGCCTTCGCCTCCTGAGTAGCTGGGACTACAGGTGCCCACCACCACACTCGGCTAATTTTTCGTGTTTTTAGTAGAGACGGGGTTTCACCGTGTTAGCCAGGATGGTCTTGATCTCCTGACCTCGTGATCTGCCCGCTTCGGCCTCCCAAAGTGCTGGGATTACAGGCGCGAGCCACCTCACCTGGCCGGGAATCCTTTCTGTAAAGCCTGTCACTGCTCCTTCCTAAGCAGCTCTTTAAGGGACTGGGATCTTAATATTTTCCAAGGATCCCAGGTCAGAGTTTTTCCCAGCTCCCTCAACTGAATCTGAACCCCCACAGGAGAAATGTAAACCATGGTACCCATCTGTACCCAACATTCGGGAGCTCACCTTTCCTGTAGAAGATCATGCCAGCTCGGCAGCCTCGCAGGGTCTTGTGAGTGGTGGTGGTCACCACATGGCAGTGTTCAAATGGGGAGGGCACCACGCCAGCCGCCACCAGCCCGCTGATGTGAGCCATGTCCGCCATGAGATACGCCCCGTTCTCATCTGCAATCTTCCGTAGCCGGGCATATTCCAGGTTTCGGGAGTAGCAGCTGGTTCCTGAGACAGGAAAGGTGACACAGCTGCATCAGAGATGTCCACCGGCCAGCTGAGTTGGCTTCACAGTGGCCTCTAGATGTGCAGATCTGAAAGCCCAGAGATTTCTTCCCTTAAAGTCTCAGAGCAAAAATGGAGAATGCCCTCAAAAAGCACCTCTGTGCTAAAGGCAACCACTCTAACTCTTCAACGTCTTGGTGGTTGAGATGGCCCCAACTACTATTGCCAGCGCAGTCAGGGCCTGACATTTCTAGATGCTTCTCTGAGAACAGTCTCACATCTTAATCTACATAGCACAAAAAGCAGCAAACACACATCTGTATCCTGAAAGAAACTAATATATGTAGACCCCAGAAACTCAGTTATCCAGGGCAGAAACTAGCAGTGGGCTCAACAGGGTGCGAACATCTTTCCATCCTCATTCTGTAAGAGGCACCAGGCTACTGGTGAACAAGGTGACTTTCCGCCCCGCGCATCACCTGCGATGATCAGCTTCGGGTGGAAGAGGCGTGCGTTCTCCTCCAGCTGGTCATAGTTGATGTAGCCAGTATCTGGGTTCACCTGTGGAATGTCAGGGAGGCAGGTTCAGGCTGCTTCCTCCAACCACACCTGCCTCCTGTCCTCCCACTTGAACTGGCTCCACCCACCATGACAAGAGGAATGATGTCCTAGATGAGGACTTGAGGGTGAGACAGGATGGATACTGGTGTGTTCAGCCTGCTCAACCAAGTATGGCTCACAGACCCAGGAGTCCCTGAGGAGTCCCAGGGTTGTAGTGAGCCCTGCTGCTGGGGCACTACCTGCTGAGAAGGAACCAAAAAGCACCTGCAGAATGAAACAAATGTGACGGGACCACACAATGGAAACCAAAATGGTTACCTTCAGGAACAAGACCAAAATGCCTGCTAATACTACTTCTATTCCAAGTATAATGAGGCAAGAAAAAGAAACAAAAGGCATAACGATTAGGAAAGAAGAAATTTAAAAACTGACATTACACACAGACAACACAATATACCTAGAAAATCAAGATGCTAGGGGCCAACTGTTAGAATAAGCAAATTTAGCAAGGTCACTGGATACAACATTGAAAAACAAGAAGTAGGGGCTGGGCGCGGTGGCTCACACCTGTAATCCCAGCACTTTGGGAGGCTGAGACGGGCAGATCATGAGGTCAGGAGATCGAGACCATCCTGGCTAACACGGTGAAACCCCGTCTCTACTAAAAATGCAAAAAATTAGCCAGATATGGTGGCGGGCGCCTGTAATCCCAGCTACTTGGGAGGCTGAGGCAGGAGAATGGCGTGAACCCGGGAGGTGGAGCTTGCAGTGAGCCGAGATTGTGCCACTGCACTCCAGCACTCCAGCCTGGGCAACAGAGCGAGACTCCATCTGAAAAAAAAAAAAAAAAAAAGCCAAAAAGTATATAAAAGCAAGAAAGATAGAAAATGAAATGTAAATAACAAAAACCATAAAAGGAAAATCATACCAAACCTTTACACAAAACATCATTGCGTTGTGTATTTTGTGTCACAAAATGCTTGACAAATTATAGTAATTAAGGCAGCACGCATTCATGGAAGGGCAGAGCATCTGGCTTAACCAGAAGCAGAACCACACACAACACAGGTCATTGGATCCATGCCAGTGGTGACGCTGCAGTGCAGTGGGGAGAGGATGACCTTTTCAATCAATGGCACTAGGTCAACTGGGCATCCATTTGGACAAAAATGTTATCTGGATGCCCGCCTCACCCACACAAATCAATTCCATATTCAGCAATCCCACTTGTGAATCTATATCTTAAGAACTTGAAATCAGTATGTCAAAGAGACATGTGCACTCCCATGTTCACTGCAGCACTATTCACAATAGCCAAGTTATGGAATAAAGCCATGTCCATCAACAGATGAATGGACAAAGGAAATGTGACACATATATATATAAACAATGTAATAATAATCAGTCTGAAAAAAGAAATTCTGTCATTTGCAACAACACCGATGAACTTGGAGGACCTTATGCTAAGTGAAATACGCCAGGCTCAGACAGACAAATACTGCATGATCTCACTTCTTTTTTGAGACAGAGTCTCACTCTGTCACCCAGGCTGGAGTGCGGTGGTGCCATCTCGGCTCATTGCAACCTCTACCTCCCAGGCTCAAGCGATTCTCCCACTCAGCCTGCTGAATAGCTGGGACCACAGGCAGTGCCACCACACCCGGCTAATTCTTATATTTTTGTAGAGATGGGGTTTCACCATGTTGCCCAGGCTGGTCTCGAACTCCTGGACTCAAGTGAGCCTCCTACCTCGACCTCCCAAAGTGCTGAGATTATAGGTGTGAGCCACCGCACCTGGCCATGTGATCTTACTTCTATGTGAAATCTAAAACAATCGAACTGCTGGGCGTGGTGGCTTATGCCTGCAGTTCCAGCACTTTGGGAGGCCGAGGCAGGTGGACCACCTGAGGACAGGAGTTTGAGACCAGCCTGGCCAACATGGTGAAACCCCGTCTCTACTAAACATTCACAAATTAGCCAGGCGTGGTGGCGTATGCCTGTAATCCCAGCTATTCGGGAGGCTGAGGCAGGAGAATCACTTGAACCCAGGAGGCGGAGGTTGCAGTGAGTCAAGATGGTGCCACTGCACTCCAGCCTGGGCGACAAAGTGAGACTCTGTCTCAAAAAAAAAAAATTAAAATTGAATAAATAAATAAATAAATAAAACAATCAAACTCACAGAAGCAGGGTAGAATGTGGTTACCAGTCACTGGAGGGTGGCAGACAATGGAGAGATACTGAGCAAAGGGTACAAAGTTGCAGTTAGACAGGAAGAAAAATAATAAATATTTAAGGAGTGGGATATGTTAGTTAACTTGATTCAATAGTTCCACACTGTATATACAAATCATAACATCACTGTGCATCCCATAATTATATATAATTTGTTTAAAAAAAAAAGTCAATTCCAAACAGATTGTAGATCTCGATGTAAAATTTAAAATAATTTTTCTTTTCTGGCAACACATCTCTTAGGAAGTTCATTTTATTAAACTTCTATAAACATATGGGTCAGCCAGGCGTGGTGGCTCACATCTGTAATCTCAGCACTTTGGGAGGCCGAGGGGGTCAGATCACCTGAGGTCAGGAGTTTGAGACCAGCCTAGCCAACATGGTGAAACCCCACCTCTACTAAAAACACAAAATTAGCCAGGCATGGTGGTACACACCTGCAGTCCTAGCGATTCAGGAAGCTGAGGGAGGAGAATCGCTTAAACCCGGGAGGCAGAGGTTGCAGTAAGCTGAGATCGTGCCACTGCACTCCAGCCTGGGCGACAAGAGGGAAACTTTGTCTCAAAAAAAAAAAAAAAAAAAAAAAGGGGTCAGCCGGATGCGGTGGCTCATGCCTGTAATACCAGCACTTTGGGAGGCTGAGTTGGACAGATCACTTGAGCCCAGGAGTTCAAGACCAGCCTGGGCAACATGGCAAAACCTTGTCTCCACAAAAAATACAAAAATTAGCCAGGCATGGTGGCATGCGCCTCTAGTCCCAGCTACTTGGGAGGCTGAAGAGGAAAGATCGCTTGAGCCCAGGAGGCAGAGGTTGCAGTGAGCCGAGACAGAGCCACTGCACTCCAGCCTGGGAGGCAGAGCCAGATACTGTCTTAAAAAAAAAAAAAAAAAAAAAGTCATGGGTAAGCACACATAACCAGCAGAGCATAGAGCGCACCACAGGAAAAACTGGGCTCTGGGATCTGAGAAGCCTCAGGGAAGAGGAGATGTGCAGAGAGGCTCCCTGTTCTGAAGGCCCTGACCCAACCTTCCTTCCTCTTACCTTGGTGTCCCCCTCAGAAACTACCAGCACATCTGGAGTGAAAGGTTTCAGGATTGGTGGTCACTCTTTCCAAATAAAAAAAGGCAGTTATAATCCAACCCAACTATAGAAGCTTGCCACAAGGTTTCGGGAACCAAGACCTCATCTAGAAAGTCAAGCTGAAAGATGATTTGTGGTTTTGTTTGCTGTGTTTTGCTTCAGGGGTGTGGTTCTTTCTCAGTCACCTGAATTTGGCAAAGAAACCGTTTTATGAAATGAAATATCAACAGCTGACCTCCAGTAAAAATGGACGTAATTCACCGGGCATGGTGGCTCACGCCTGTAATCCCAGCTCTTAGGGAGACAGAGGCAGTAGGATAGCTTGAGTCCAGGAGTTTGAGACCCGCCTGGGCAACATAGTGAGATCTTGTTCTCCACAAAAAGGAAAAAAAAAAAGATTTAAAAAAAATGGACATAATTCTAAAATTTTTTGTGTAGCCACAATTACCGGAAAAAAAAAAAAAAAAAAAAAAGCCTGTGCTGCTTTCTCCCTTTTTAATTTAATGGGTTTTTCAAAGGTTTTTCTTTTCTTTTTTTAATCTTGAAAATGAGACAAGAGAACAACTCCTAGAAGAATTCATAGGCATTTATAATAAACTGCAGATGGGGTCCACAGTGCACAGAGGATAAGGAAGGAGACCCCAGCAGTCACTTAGGACCAGGGACAGGGAGGAATTCTCGAGTCACAGTGGGGATGGGCCAAAAACACAAAATAGAAGGTTAATGTTGCTGTTGCTCTAGCCTGGCCCTGCGTGGGGCTCTTGCAGTGGAGTGGGGCAGGGGCTGAAGGTGGAGGCAGGCGGTCTGGTGAAGGCTGGGCAGGGCAGTGGCCCTGGGACACCCCCTAACCTCCAACTCTGCAGCCCGGTGGGGTGGAGGTGAGCTGCCTCTGGCTGCTGATGAATGCCAATAAGGTCTGTCTCCTCCTCCTGTCCGCCAAGGGCAGGACTCAAATCACCCCCACAGCGGGTGAGCTGCACCTCCTGCTGCCCAAGCTGGCCAGGGTCCCAGGCCCCACCTCTCCATGCCCATCCTGAGGTGGGTCCCCTCACTGCACCCACAGGACTGCAGCCTGCACAATGTACATCAAAGACGGGGGTGGCTGGAGGGAACTGGGTGCGGGACGCAGATTCTTTCTTTTTTTTTCTGGAGATGGAGTCTTGCTCTGTCACCTAGGCTGGAGTGCACTGGTGCAATCTTGGCTCACTGCAACCTCCGCCTCCCAGGTTCAAGTGGTTCTCCTGCCTCAGCCTCCTGAGTAGCTGGGATTACAGGTGCCCGCCACCACGTCCAGTTAATTTCTGTATTTTTAGTAGAGAAGGCTTTCACCATGTTGGCCAGGCTGGTCTCGAACTCCTGACCTCGGATGATCCGCCCACTTCGACCTCCCAAAGTGCTGGGATTACAGGAGTGCACCACCATGTATTTTTAGTAGAGACGGGGTTTCACTGTGTTGGCCAGGCTGGTCTTGAACTCCTGACCTCATGATCCGCCTGCCTCAGCCTCCCAAAGTGCTGGGATTACAAGCGTGAGCAACTGCACCCTGCCTTTCTTATTTATTTATTTTTTTTGAGATGGAGTTTCACTCTTGTCGCCCACTCTGGAGTGCAATGGAGCAATCTTGGCTCACTGCAACCTCCGCCTCCCAGGTTCAAGCAATTATCCCTCCTCAGCCTCCTGAGTAGCTGGAACTACGGGTGTGCACCACCACACCTGAGGAATTTTTTGTATTTTTAGTAGAGACAGGGTTTGAACATGTTGGCCAGGCTGGTCTCGAACTCCTGACCTCAGGTGATCTGCCCACCTCAGCTTCCCAAAGTGCTGTGATTACAGGTGTGAGCCACCGAGCCCAGCCAAGACAAACTATTTTGTTACTATTGTGACATGTTTCAAAATCTAGCTTCAAGGCTGGCCTTGGCCAATGAGGAGATCTGTGACTGCAAACACCTAGGTGTTCTGTGAAAAGAAATGACTGCAAAAAAGAGCACACGTGCAATCACCAGCACTGAGACAAAGGCTGAGTACACACAGAACCATGGACAGCATGCACCCAAGACCATGCAATGCCAGCCAAGCAGAAGGATGCAGTGCTACCTTTTTTCATGGTAACAAACATGAAACTAAGCAGGAATGGCACATTTATTAATAAAGAACATGAAAAGATGGTTCCGGGACACTAGAAAGAATCACCAACACTGGACACTAAAAGAAAAAGCAAGTTACCTCTTCTTCCCATTATCCTTCGTTTTTATAGATAAATCACCATGCCTGAATAAGCCCACACATCTTACAGGCATTTTTTGACCCAACTGTTTATACAGACGGGTCCCACGAAAAACAAGTATTTGCCTGGGGCCCTGCACACCCTAGAGGCAGCACTTGGCACTGGTTCTGATGGTGTTGGTTCCACTGCTGGGCTGGCTGCGTTATCAGGTATGTGCAGTGGGGTGGCAATGGCAATGGGGTGTACACCTGAGCCATACAGGTGCTCCTCAACTTATGGGGTTACATTCCAATAAGCTCATCATTAAGCTGAAAATATCATAAAGTCAAAAATGCATGTAATATACCTAACCTACCAAACATCACAACCTAGTCTGGCCTACCTTAAACATGCTGAGGACACTGTGGTACCCTCCACTGGGCAAGATAGTCAAACACAAACCTTATTTTATAATACGGTGTTGACTATCTCATGTAATCTACTGAATACTGTACTGAAACTGAAAAGCAGAATGGTCGTATGGGGGGCTTGAAGTACAGCTAATAACGCATGTCACTTTTGCACTATCCTAAAGTTGAACGCCCTAAGTCAAACCACTGTCTGTTCCTCTGTAGCCACTATACACAGGCAGGGGCTAGCCCTAACGTGGCCATGGAGGACTGTGGCTGTGGATGGTGCCGGGCTGCTGGTTTTGGTGCTGGAGCTGGGGACGTTGCCATGCCTGTAGCTACTGCATCCTTGTGCTGCTGCTGGCCCACAGGGGCTCCGAGCAGAGATGTCACCAGGCGAGGGCAGAGCTGCAGAGGTGGTGGCTGTTGCTGGGGTCCAACTGTAGTGACCTGGTTGCTATTCCCCAGGGTTGCTATTCCAAGCAGTTGCCACTGCCCCTGCCACATCTGAACTCTCCTCAGTAGTTGCCTCCCTCACTGGTTTCCCTGTGGCCTCAGCTCAGACCCTCGTCTCTCCATCCCAGCTGCCCCAGCGGGTCCTGAAAACCTGAGGAGTCCCCGCTGCAAGGAAATTAAAAACGGTGCGAGGTGGGGACTTCCTGTAGTGACACATAAACCAAACTTACCCCTGCAGGCACAGCCAAGCATCAGAGGTTTCCCAAGGAAATAAAAGCTAGGAGAGAAACACATGCTTACCTTGTAGGGCATAGATTCAAAGAAGATGGACGTGGCAGAGATTTTCTTCTTGTCTGTCATGAACCCATGGGTCAGGTGGCCCCCATCCGGAAGGTCCAGGCCCATGATGCGCCCATGGGGTTCCACCAGGGCAGTGTACACAGCAAAGTTTGCAGGGGAGCCTGAAACGAGTGGACCAGAGGAGACATGATTATTTCTAACTGAGGTACCAAGTGGCATCCGGGACCTTGGCCACTAAGCCTTCACCCAGGAGTGGCGAGAACAGGCCTTGTACCTTCCCTGAGCTCCAGGAGGTGCCCCTTCACCACCAGCCTTGAGAGGTGAAGTTCAGAGAGAGGGCACTGCCTGGGAGGGGGTATAGAGCTGGGAGCCCAAGGGTAATGCAGAGGGATGCGTGACTTATCTTTTATTTATGGCAGTTTTTTTTTTTTTTTTTTTTGAGATGGAGTTTCGCTCTTGTTGCCCAGGCTGGAATGCAATGGCGCCATCTCGGCAGCTCACTGCAACCTCCGCCTCCCAGGTTCAAGCAATTCTCCTGCCTCAGGCTCCGAGTAGCTGGGATTACAGGCATGTGCCACTACACCCAGCTAATTTTTGTATTTTTAGTGGAGACCGGGTTTCTCCATGTTGGTCAGGCTGGTCTTGAACTGCCGGCCTCAGGTGGTCTGCCTGCCTCCGCCTCCCAAAGTGCTGGGATTACAGGCGTGAGCCACTGGGCCCGGCCTATGGCAGTCCATGGCAGTCCATCTTAGGACTCTTCTTGGTGCATGTCGGCCCTGGGGGATGCACATGAAGAGGCTGCACCAGGCCATATGGATGAGACAAGCACCTGAGTAGGGCTGGACGTTGACCCCCCAGCACTGTGGGTCCAGCTTATAGGCCTGCAGGGCTCGCTTCTGACAGAGGGTCTCCAGTTCATCAATAAACTCAGTCCCGCCATAGTATCTGTGGGAGAAGAGCAGGAGACTTAGATCCACTCAGACCCAGAAAGTCTGTGCTTCACAGAGGCCAAAGAAGCTTAGGGGTGGGACAGTGAAACTAAAGTGGAGAGAAGTAATGAGAAGAGCTTGTTAACATGCAGATGCTGAAGCCAGCATGATCAAGTGTTCCACCAATGCCTCTGGAATCTACAGTCAAGAGACCAAACCAGCTGTGCAACTTGGAGCAAATATCTCATCTATAAAAAGAGGGGGTTTTGGCTGGGAGAGGTGGCTTATACCTATAATCCCAGCACTTTGAGGAGCCAAGGCAGGAGGATTGCTTGAGCCCAGGAGTTCGAGACCAGCCTGGGCAATACAGCAATATCCCCATCTCTACAAAAAATTTCAAAAAATTAGCCAGGTGTTGTGGTGTGTGCCCATAGTCCCAGCTACTTGGGAGGCTGAGAAGGGAAGATTCACTTTGGCCCAGGAGGTAAAGGCTGCAGTGAGCTGTGATCACGCCACTGGACTCCAGCCTGGACCCTGTCTCAAAAAAAAAAAAGAAAAGAAAAAGAAAAAAAAAAGGAAAGAAATCCTATCACATGCTATTAATACAACAGGGATGAGCCTGAGAACATTATGCTAAGTGAAACAAACCAGTCACCACAAGACAAGCACTGTATGATTCAACTTTTATGAGGTCCCTAAAGTAGTCAAGCTTAGGCTGGGCATGGTGGCTCACGCCTGTAATCCCAGCACTTTGGGAGGCCGAGGTGGGCAGATCACCTGAGGTCAGGAGTTCCAGACCAGCCTGGCCAATATGGTGAAACCCCGTCTCTACTAAAAATACAAAAATTAGCCGGGAGTGGTGGCGGGTGACTGTAATCCCAGCTGCTCGGGAGGCTGAGGCAGGAGAATCTCTTGAACCCAGGAGGTGGAGGTTGCAGTGAGCCGAGATCGCCCCACTGCACTCCAGCCTGGGCATCCCAGCAAGACTCAGTCTCAAAAAAAAATTTAAAGTAACTACATGCAGTGGCTCATGTCTGTAATCTCAGAGATTTGGAAGGCTGAGGTGGGAGAACTGCTTGAGGCCAGGAGTTCAAGACCAGCTAGGCAACATAGTGAGATCTCAGCTCTAGAAAAAATTTTACAAATGAGCTAAGTATAGTGGCTTGCACCTACAGTCCTAGTTACTTGGAAGGCTGAGGTGGGAGGATCACTTGAACCCAGGAGTTGGAGATTGCAGTGAGCTTTGATTGTACCACTGCACTACAGCTGGAGCAACACAGTGAGACCCTATCTCTAAAAAAAATAAATAGGCCGGGCCCAGCGTAGTGGCTCACATTTGTAATCTCAGCACTTTGGGAGGCCGAAGTGGGCGGATCACCTGACGTCAGGAGTTCGAGACCAGCCTGACCAACATGGAGAAACCCCATCTCTCCTAAAAATACAAAATTAGCCAGGCGTGGTGGTGCACGCCTGTATTCCCAGCTATTGAGGAGGCTGAGGTAGGAGAATTGCTTGAACCTGGGAGGCGGAGGTTGCGGTGAGCCGAGATTGTACCATTGCACTCCACCCTGGGCAACAAGAGCAAAACTCTGTCTCAAAAAAATAAAAATAGATAAAAAATAGGCCGGGCACGGTGGCTCACGCCTGTAATCCCAGCACTTTCGGAGGCCGAGGCGGGCGGATCACGAGGTCAGGAGATGGAGACCATCCTGGCTAACATGGTGAAACCCCGTCTCTACTAAAAAATATATAAAAAATTAGCCGGGTGTGGTGGCGGGCGCCTGTAGTCCCAGCTACTCGGGAGGCTGAGGCAGGAGAATGGCGTGAACCCGGGAGGTGGAGCTTGTAGTGAGCCGAGATCGTGCTACTGCGCTCCAGCCTGGGCGACAGAGTGAGACTCCGTCTCAAAATAAATAAATAAATAAATAAAAAATAAATAGGCCAGATGTGGTTGTTCACACCTGTAATCCTAGTAATATGGAAGGCTCAGGTGGGAAGACTGCTTGAGGCCAGGAGTTTGAAACCAGCCTGGGCAACACAGCAAGACCTCATGTCTATTAAAAATTAGCCTGGTGTGGTGGCATGCACCTGTGGTCCTAGCTACAGAGAGGCTGAGGCAGGAGGATTGCTTGAGCCCAAGAGTTTGAGGCTGCAATGAGACGAGATTGCACCACTGCACTCCAGCCTGGGCAAGACAACGAGACCTTGTCATTCATTTATTCACACATACATAACATTTTGTTTTAAACCCAGAACTTTGTTTTTAGGTTTGTATCAAGCAAAGTCATTAACGTTAGGTCAACACTGTTTTCTTTTTTTTTTTTCTGAGATGGAGTCTTGCTCTGTCTCCCAGGCTGGAGTGCAGTGGTGCGATCTCGGCTCACTGCAACCTCCGCCTCCCAAGTTCAAGCGATTCTCCTACCTCAGCCTCCAGAGTAGCTGGGATTACAGGCACGCACCTCCACACCCAGCTAATTTTTGTATTTTTAGTAGAGACAGGGTTTCGACATGTTGGCCAGGCTGGTCTCAAACTCCTGACCTCAGGTGATCCACCTGCCTCAGCCTCCCGAAGTGCTGGGATTACAGGTGTGAACCACCACGCCTTGCCTATTGTTTTCAAATATTGCCTTTGATTTTAAATAATGTTCCAAAGGTAGATTAATATTAAATTATATTAACAAAATATAATGAAAACATGTAATAATTACCTTTTATTTTTATTTTTATTATTTTTTTGAGACGGAATCTCACTGTCACCCAGGCTGGAGTGCAGTGGCGCGATCTCGGCTCACTGCAAACTCCACCTCCCAGGTTCACACCATTCTCCTGCCTTAGCCTCCCGAGTAGCTGGGACTACAGGCGCCAGCCACCACACCTGGCTAATTTTTTTGTATTTTTTTTTAGTAGAGATGGGGTTTACACCGTATTAGCCAGGATGGTCTCGATCTCCTGACCTCATGATCCACCCAGCTCGGCCTCCTAAAGTGCTGGGATTACAGGCATGAGCCACCACGCCCAGCCAATAATTACCTTTTAAAAGAGCCCTTTAATTGGCTGGGCACAGTGGCTCACGCCTGTAATCCCAACACTTTGGGAGACAGAGGCAGGCGGATCATGAGGTCAGGAGATCGAGACCAGCCTGGCTAACACGGTGAAACCCCGTCTCTACTAAAAATACAAAAAATAAATAAATAAATAAGTTAGTCGGGTGTGGTGGCACGTGCCTATAGTCCCAGCTACTTGGGAGGCTGAGGCAAGAGAATCGCTTGAACCTGGGAGGTGGAGGCTGCAGTGAGCCGAGATTGTGCCACTGCACTCCAGCCTCGTGACAGAGCGATACGCCGTGTAAAAAAAAAACAACAAGCCCTTTAACATGAATAAACGATGTAATTACACTTCTATTTAAGTTGTGGTTTTTCGGGGTTTTTTTTAAATTTAGAAACAGGGTCTCATTCTGTCACCCCAGCTGGAGTGCATTGGCAAAATCATAGCTCACTGCAGCCTTTGATCTCCTGGGCTCAAGCGATACTCCACCTCAGTTTCTTGAGTAGCTGAGACTACAGGCGCATGCCACCATGTCCGGCTAATTTTTAAATTTTGTTTTGGAGACAGCGTCTCACTATATTGCCCAGGCTGGTCTCAAATTCCTAGCCTCAAATGATCCTCTGCCCTGGCCTCTTAAAGCACTGGGATTACAGGGGTGAGCCACTACACTCAGTCCCCTTCTTTTTTTTTTTTTTTTTTGAGACGGAGGCTCGCTATCGCCCAGGCTAGAGTGCAGTGGCGCGATCTCGGCTCACTGCAAGCTCTGCCCCCTGGGGTTCACGCCAGTCTCCTGCCTCAGCCTCCCACGTAGCTGGGACTACAGGCGCCCGCCACCTTGCCAGGCTAATTTTTTGTATTTTTAGTAGAGACGGGGTTTCACCGTGTTAGCCAGGATGGTCTCGATCTCCTGACCTCGTGATCCGCCCGCCTGGGCCTCCCAAAGTGCTGGGATTACAGGCGTGAGCCACCGCGCCCGGTCCCCCTTCTTAAAAATGTAGAAAACATCACCCCTTGCTCGATACATTGCTGTGAGAATCGAATGAAATATTAGTTTTGAAAACACCTGGTGTGGACCGGGTGCAGTGGCTCACAGCTCTAATCCTAAGCACTCTGGGAGGCCAAGGCAGGTGGATTGCTTGAGCTCAGGAGATGGAGATCAGCCTGGGCAACAACAGCCTGGGTGAAACTCTGTCTCTACAAAAAATTAGCTGGGTGTGGTGGTGTGTGCCTGTAGTCCCAGCGACTCAGTAGGCTGAGGTGGGAGGATGGCTTGGGTCCAGGAGACCAAGGCTGCAGTGAACCTTGATCACACCACTGCACTTCAGCCTGGGTGAGAGAAAGACCATGTCTCAAAAAAGAAGAAAAAAAAAAAGAAAACACCTGGTGTTAACAAAATACCTTAGCCTGAAAGAAGAAAGAAAGGAAGGAAAAAGAAAAAGAAAGGAGAGAGAGAAATAAAGAAAACACCTGGTGAATTCTTTAAGGCACAATGCAAAAGTTAGTTATTCACAATAGGAGAAAGACAATGCCTTCAACTTGATTCTCAGTCTTCTACATAGAGCTTCAGGGGCATCTCAGGACAGAATGGCAATTCCTTCTCCAAGGGTGACCTTTCTGTTTCCTTTGGGACAAAAATGCACACATTTGCAAAAGCCATGTCTAATTCTGTAATTTATTTTCTTTGCCTGATGATGACTGTAAAAAACAAAAACGAATATAACACTGTAATTCTGAGGGTGAAAGAGTCAACTGAAAGCCACTGCATGTGTAAATCCAACATTTATAATGCAGAAACGGTTTTCAGTAATCCAGATTCAGCCTCCACTTCCACACCATTCCCAATACAGACTCGATGACTCACATGGCAACGGCCACCTTCTGCAGCATCCCTCAGATGACACTGACCTTTTCTAGACAGAGGCCACACACCAGTCCAGTGGCTCAATACTCCTTACAAACTGGCCTGTTTTTCTAGAAAGCCCCCAAAGAACTGTGAAATGTGCCCCTGAGTACACCTGCGCTGAGCTCTTCAGTGTTATCACATGCTGGGAATAAAAGAGTTCTGTCAGAGAGCAGGCGTGGAACAGAAATCCTACAGCTGGGAAGCTTATTGTTTTCTGAAATTTCCAAATTGTTTAGGTCCTAGGCTGACTGAGTACTCCCTATGACTGTGTCAGAACCAGGCCTTTGAAGATATTCACATACCTCTGGCCCGGGTACCCCTCAGAGTATTTGTTATTTAAGCAAGAGCCTAGGGCCTCCAAAACTGCTCGGCTGGCGAAATTCTCCGAGGCAATCAGCTCCAATCCAACCCTCTGCCGGTTACTCTCCTTCTTAATGATGTTGTAAACCTTATGAGAAGAAAACAGATGCTTGATATTTGGAAATTTTAGTTTAAAATTTTGCTCTGATCCAAATTACAACCTCCTAAAGAGAAAAGACACTCTTTCACATTATGGAATAGAATGAATCCTCCTCAAAGGTTTTAGTATCTGAGAAAGCACTAATCAATGAATTAACAAAAACAAAATGATAGCCAGGTGCGGTGGCTCACGACTGTAATCCCAGAACTTTGGGAGGCCGAGGCTGGTGGATCACCTGAGGTCAGGAGTTCTAGACCAGCCTGGCCAATATGGTGAAACTCCATCTCTACTAAAAATACAAAACTTGGCTGGGCGTGGTGGCTCACGCCTGTAATCCCAGCACTTTGGGAGGCCGAGATGGGCAGATCACCTGAGGTCGGGGGTTCGAGACCAGCCTGACCAACATGGAGAAACCCTCGTCTCTACTAAAAAATACAAAATTAGCCGGGCGTGGTGGCACATGCCTGTAATCCCAGCTACTCGGGAGGCTGAGGCAGGAGAATCGCTTGAACCCGGGAGGCGGAGGTTGCAGTGAGCCGAGATCACGCCATTGCACTCCAGCCTGGGCGACAAGAACAAAACTCTGTCTCAAAAACAAACAAACAAAAAAACAAAACTTAGATGGGTGTGGTGGCAGGCGCCTATAATCTCAGCTACTCGGGGGGCCGAGGCAGGAGAATCGCTTGAACCTGGGAGGTGGAGGATTCAGTGAGCCGAGATCGCGCCATCGCACTCCAGCCTGGGAAACAAGAGCGAGACTTCATCTCAGAAAAAGAAAAACAAAATGATTGAAGAGAAAGTTATCTTTAAGTGTCCCACCTAATTTTTAACACCACCATCCTGTTATTTTTATTCCTACATTTCACCAAGTTTCTCCCTCCCTGAACCTTATTCCTTGTTCTTCTTCCTTAAAAGAAAAGATGCTTTAGGCCGGGCGTGGTGGCTCACGCCTGTAATCCCAGCACTTTGGGAGGCCGAGACAGGTGGATCACGAGGTCAGGAGATCGAGATCATCCTGGCTAACACAGTGAAATCCCGTCTCTACTAAAAAAAAAAAAATAATACAAAAAATTAGCCAGGGCGTGGTGGCTGGCACCTGTAGTCCCAGCTACTCGGGAGGCTAAGGCAGGAGAATGGCGTGAACCCGGGAGATGGAGCTTGCAGTGAGCTGAGATCGCGTCACTGCACTCCAGCCTGAGCAACAGAGCAAGACTATATCTCAAAAAAAAAAAAAAAAAAAAAAAAAAAAAAAAAAAAAAAAAAAAAAAAAAGGCCGGGTGCGGTGGCTCACGCCTGTAATCCCAGCACTTTGGGAGGCTGAGGTGGGCGGATCACGAGGTCAGGAGATCGAGACCATCCTGGCTAACATGGTGAAACCCCACCTCTACTAAAAAATACAAAAAATTAGCCGGGTGTGGTGGCAGGCACCTGTAGTCCCAGCTACTCAGGAGGCTGAGGCAGGAGAATGGCATGAACCCAGGAGGTGGAACTTGCAGTGAGCTGAGATCACGCCACTGCACTCCAGCCTGGGCGACAGAGCAAGACTCTGTCTCAAAAAAAAAAAAAAAAAAAAAATTAGCCGGGCATGGTGGTGGGTGCCTGCAATCCCAGCTAGTCAGGAGGCTGAGGCTGGAGAATCCCTTGAACCCAGGAGGTGGAGGTTGCAGTGAGCCAAGATCACGCCATTGCACTCCAGCCTGGGCAACAAGAGTGAAACTCTGTCTCAAAAAAATAAATAAACAAGTAAAATAAAATAAAATAAAGGTGCTTTCAGATGTCTAGATAGATCTATATTCCCTGTGAACTGTCAGGAAAGGGTCAACTGTCAGTGATCTCTCCCCTTCTCGCTTTTCTCCAGAGCACCCTGCACAGTGCTCCACACTTTGAAGAAACCCAGCAATCTTTAAATTTACCCTCAAAGGATTTGTAGCCATTTTGTCTGCCACCACCTCTAAATCCAGCAGGATAATACTCATTTCAAGGCTGTCCCTAATTAATTTGTAATTAGAACTAAAGATTAAATGAAGGCCTCCAACATAAAAAAATCTGTGAAGACCCCAAAAATCTCACCTCAACATCACTGTCTTTGAGGGGTTGTGCCAGCATCTTGTCATGTGAGGACCACAGGTCAGCATCCTTGTGGGCCCCGTTGACTGGCATCGTCATTGCACTGGTTCGAAGCTGCCTAAAAAAATGGGAAAAACATGTGTAGCTTCCAGAATTAAATTTATTTATTTTATTTATTTTTTATTTATTTTTGAGATGTAGTCTTTGTTGCCCAGGCTGGAGTGCAGTGGCATGATCTCGGCTCACTGCAACCTCCGTCTCCCAGGTTCAAGAGATTCTCCTGCCTCAATCTTCTGAATACAGGCGCATGCCACCATGCCCAGCTAATTTTTTGTATTTTTAGTAGAGACGAGGTTTCACTGTGTTAGCCAGGATGGTCTCAATCTCCTGACCTTGTCATCCGCCCACGTTGGCTTCCCAAAGTGCTGGGATTACAGGTGTCAGCCACCGCGCCCCACCTATTTATTTTTATTTTTTTGAGACAAGACTCTCACTCTGTCACCCAGGCAATGGCGTGATCTTGGCTCACTGCAACCTCCGCCTCCTGGGTTCAAGTGATTCTCCTGCCTCAGCCTCCTGAGTAGCTGGGACTACAGGCGTGCGCCACTACGCCTGGCTAATTTGTGTATTTTTCGTAGAGATGGAGTTTTATCACGTTGGTCAGGCTGGTCTTGAACTCCTCTGAAGTGATCCGCCTGCCTCGGCCTCCCAAAGTGCTGGGATTACAGGCGTGAGCCACCATGCCTGGCCGCAGCATTATATTGAATCAAAGCTCATCGAAACCTGTTAGTTCTATCAAGTTGATAAACTAACACTTTTTTTAGCCTTTCCCTCAGAATTGCTTGGTAAACACGAGCATGTTCTATTGCAAAACCACCATGTGGAACTTCTGGTTCCTTTCCAAACTGCAGACGTCAGCTCATCTCCCTCAGAAATGAGAACTGACCCTCCTCCCCACCTGCAGGGAGCCCAACTCCGCCTCCTCTCAGCCAAACTTCTCATGGATATAGCTTATCTCCCACAACTAAACTAAGTTCCTTGAAGGTAAGGACTGAGTGCTACTTTTTAAAAAATCTCCTGCGGTACCCAACACTGCTATACATGAAGAATATTTTCCGGCCGGGCACGGTGGCTCACGCCTGCAATCCCAGCACTTTGGGAGGCCGAGGTGGGCAGATCACAAGATCTGGAGTTGGAGACCATCCTGGCCAACCTGGTGAAACCCCATCTCTACTAAAAATACAAAAAATGAGCTGGACGTTGTGGCACATGCCTGTAGTCCCAGCTACTCGGGAGGCTGAGGCAGGAGAATCTCTTGAATCTGGGAGGCAGAGCTTGCAGTGAGCCGAGATCACACCACTGCACTCCAGCCTGGCCATAGAGCAAGACTCCACCTCAAAAAAAAAAAAAAAAAAAAAAAAAGAGTATTTTCCAAATGACTGAACAGATGAATCATTGACTTGAAACAATTCCACTGGCAGGGAACTGGCAGGCCCTCATAAAATAGTAAATATTCACTATTTAGCAACTTTTCAAAAGATTTTTTGGGACACACAAGTTAATGATGAACAGGATATAGGCAGTTGGGATCATCTTTCCAGGATGACCACCAGTAGTATTTTATAAATGATAATGTAAGTACAGCAAATAGCACCTATTCACTCAGTCTGGACACATTTCTCCAGGCTCCAGAAAAATGTAAATGGGAGTTTTGCTATAAGAAGGGCCTCAAAAATCTCTGTACGATTTTTGAATACATAAGGACCTCATTTTAATCCTAGCAACACTTTAATGTGTTAATTTATTTCATACTTCAAGTAATGAAATTGAGGCTCAGGGCCAGGCATGGCAACTCACACCTGTAACCCCAGCACTTTGGGAGGCCAGGAGTTCAAGACCAGCCTGGGCATTGCTACAAAAAAAAAAGTTAGCTGGGCATGGTGGGATGGGCCTATAGTCCTACCTACTGAGCTAGGACTCTTTTTTTTTTTTTTTTTTGAGACAGAGTCTCACTCTGTCGCCCAGGCTGGAGTACAGTGGCGCGATCTCGGCTCACTGCAAGCTCCACCTCCCGGGTTCATGCCATTCTCCTGCCTCAGCCTCCCAAGTAGCCAGGAACACAGGCACCCACCACCATGCCTGGCTAATTTTTTTTTTATTTTTTCAGTAGAGATGGGGTTTCACCGGTTAGCCAGGATGGTCTCGGCCTCCCAAAGTGCTGGGATTACAGGTGTGAGCCACCGCGCCCAGCCTGGGCTAGGACTCTTAAAAAAAAAAAAAAAGAACTAAAGAAAGAAAAACGACGTTAGAAAAGTGAAATATTGTGGCTGGGCGCAGTGGCTCATGCCTGTAATCCCAGTACTTTGGGAGGCCGAGGTGGGCGGATCAGGAGGTCAGGAGATCGAGACCATCCTGGCCTACACGGTGAAACCCCATCTCTACTAAAAATACAAAAATTAGCCGGGCGTAGTGGCTCACGCCTGTAATCCCAGCTACTCGGGAGGCTGAGGCAGGAGAATCACTTGAACCTGGGAGTCAGAGGTTGCAGTGAGCCAAGATCACCACTGCACTCCAGGCTGGCAACAGAGCGAGACTCTGTCTCAAAGAAAAGTAAAATATCTTAGCCCAGGGCTGCACAGAAAGTTAGCCACAGAGGCAGGACTCGAAACCCCAAAGCACATGCTCTAAGTAATCCACAGAGTTCCTGTGAAGCTGTTAGTTAAAATATGTACTTGGGCTGGGTGTGGTGGTTCATGCCTGTAATTCCAGCACTTTGGGAGGCTGAGGCAGGAGGATCACTTGAGCCCAGGAGTTCAAGACTGGCCTGGGCAACATGGCAAAGCCCCATTTCTACAAAAAATACAAATTATTAGCTGGTCGTGGTGGCATGCATCTGTAGTCCCAGCTATTCAGGAGGCTGAGGTGGGAGGATCACCTGAGCCTGGAAGCTAGAGGTTGCAATGAGCCGTGATTGTGGCAGTGCATTCCAGCCTGGGTGACAGAGTAAGACCCTGTGTGTGTGTGTTTTTTTCTTTTAAATAAAAAAAGGACTTGTTTGAATATAAATCTTCCTAAAGAATTACAGGTTGGGCTGGGCCCAGTGGCTCATGCCTGTAATCCCAGCACTTTGGGAGGCCAAGGCGTGCGGATCATGAGGTCATAAGTTTGAGACCAGCCTGGCCAACATGACTAAAAATACAAAAATTACCCAGGTGTGGTGGCAGGCACCTGTAACCCCAGCTACTTGGGAGGCTGAGGCAGGAGAATCGCTTGAACCCGGGAGGCGGAAGTTGTAGTGAGCCGAGATCACACCACTGCACTCTAGCCTGGGTGACAAAGCAAGACTCCGTCTCCAGGGGAAAAAAAAAAAAGGGCCTGGTATGGTGGCTTATGCCTGTAATCCCAGCACTTAGGGGAGTCAAGGCAGGAGGATCCTTTGAGCCTAGGAGTTCAACCACAGCCTAGGCAACACAGTGAAACCACGTCTCTACAAAAATTTAGAAATTAGGCTGGGCAAGGTGGCTCACATCTGTAATCCCAGCACTTTGGAAGGCTGAGGTGGGCAGATCAACTTGAGGCCAGGAGTTTGAGACCAGCCTGGCTAACATGGTGAAACCCTGTCTATAGCAAAAATATAAAAAATTAATTGGGTGTGGTGGCACACACCTGAGGCATGAGACTTACTTGAGCCTCAGAGGTGGAGGCTGCAGTGAGCCGAGATTGTGCCACTGCACTCCAGTCTGGGTGACAGAGTGAGACTGTGTCTCAATAAAAAAAAAAAGGCCAGGTGCAGTGGTTCACGCCTGTAATCCCAGCACTTTGGGAGGCCAAGGCGGGCAGACCACGAGGTCAGGAAATCAAGACTGTCCTGGCCAACATGGTGAAACCCCATCTCCACTAAAAATACTAAAATTAGCTGGGTGTGGTGGCGCCCGCCTGTAATTCCAGCTACTCAGGAGGCTGAGGCAGAAGAATGGCTTGAACCCAGGAGGCGGAGACTGTAGTGAGCAGAGATCACACCACTGCACCGCAGCCTGGCAACAAAGCAAGACTCTATCTTAAAAAAAAAAAAAATTATTTGGCCAGGCACAGTGGCTCACACCTGTAACCCCAGCACTTTGGGAGGCCAAGGCGGGCGGATCACCTGAGGTCAGGAGTTCGAGACCAGCCTGGCCAACACAGCGAAACCCCGTCTCTACTAAAAAATACAAAAATTAGATGGGCATAGTGGTGGGCCCCTGTAATACCAGCTATGCGGGAGGCTGAGGTAGGAAAATCGCTTGAACCCAGGAGGTGGAGGTTGCAGTGAGCCGAGATCATACCATTGCACTCCAGCCTGGGTGACAGAGCAAGACTCCATCACAAAAAAAAACAAAAAGAAATACACAAGGCCAGGCATGGTTGCTTACACTTGTAATCCCAGAACTCTGAGAGGCTGAGACGAGAAGATCACTTGAGCCCAGGCGTTCAAGACCAGCCTAGGCAACATGGCAAAACCCTGTCTCTAAAAAAAAATACAAAAAATTACCCGAGCCTGGTGGCGCACGCCTGTATTCTCAGCTACTCTGGGTGGCTGAGGCAGGATGATCACTTGAGTCCCGGAGGTTGAGGCTGCAGTGAGCCCAGATTTTCCCACAGCACTCCAGCCTGGCCAAGAGAACAAGACCCTGTCTCAAAAAAAAAAAAAAGAAAAGAAAAGAAAGAAAGATGCAATAAATGGGTGCAAGGCTACTTTAGACTGGGTCAGGGAACGTCCCCGAGCTGAAATCTGAGCTGTGGAAAGGAGCCAACCATGAAATCTGGGATGAGAGCAATCTACGCAGAGTAAACAAGTGCAGAGCACCCCAAGTTCAAAGGCCAGACAAAGGAGAAAGTGTGACTGGCCAAGGGTCAGAAATCAGGCTTGCACACCTGAAGTCTGGGGAGTCACAGGACCACAAGAGTCAAGACCACCCTGGGCAACATAGGGAGACCCCGTCTCTCTAAAGAAAGAAAAAAAAGCGGTCAGGCGCGGTGGCTGACGCCTGTAATCCCAGCACTTTGGGAGGCCGAGGTGGGTGGATCACTTGAGGTCAGGAGTTTGAGACCAGCCTGGCCAATATGGTGAAACCCCATCTCTACTAAAAATACAAAAATTAGCTGGGCGCAGTGGCTCAATTCCTGTAATCCAAGCACTTTGGGAGGCCAAGGCGGGTGCATCACCCCAGGTCAGGAGTTCGAGACCAGCCTGACCAACACGGTAAAACTCCGTCTCTACTAAAAATACAAAAATGAGCTGGGTGTGTGGTGCGCACCTGTAACCCCAGCTACTCAGGAGGCTGAGGCAAGATAATCGCTTGAACCCAGGAGGTTGCAGTGAGCTGAGATCGTGCCACCGCACTCCAGCCTGGACAACAGAGCAAGACTCTGTCTCAAAAAAAAAAAAAAAAAAAAAAAAACAAAAATTAGCCAGGCATGGTGGCATATGCCTGTAATCCCAGCTACTCAGCAGGCTGAGACCAGGAGAATAGCTTGAACCAGTGAGGTAGAGATTGCAGTGGACCGAGATCATGCCACTGCACTCCAGCCTGGGTGACAGAGCTAGACTCCGTTTCAAAAAAAAAAACAAAAAAGAAAAAAGGGGGCTGGGTGCAGTGGCTCACATCTGTAATCCCAGCACTTTGGGAGGCCGAGGCGGGCAGATCACGAGGTCAGGAGATCGAGACCATCCTGGCTAACATGGTGAAACCCCGTCTCTACAAAAATAAAAAAAAATTAGCTGGGCGTGGTGGCGGCGCCTGTAGTCCCAGCTACTCAGGAGGCTGAGGCAGGAGAATGGCGTGAACCCGGGAGGCGGAGCTTGCAGTGAGCCGAGATCGCGCCACTGCTCTCCGGCCTGGGCAACAGAGTGAGACTCCGTCTCAAAAAAAAAAAAAAAGAAAATTGGGAATCTTAGGGACATCTTCATTAACATTCAGTAATACCTGGTAAGTCCCCCAGCCAACACAGCTCACTGCAACATCAGTCATTACAACATTGGATATTTCTGTAGAGGCACTGTTGCTCATGTGTGGCATGATCCTCAACATCAGGGAAAAAGACCTAGTAAGTGAAGTCACCTGCAAGGTCACCAGCCTCCCCATGCCTCCAAATCTTACCTGGGCCTCTGTCACATAAGAGGATCCAGCCAAGGATCTGCTCAGGGAACTAACTTGTTGCACATCTTCTATCTCACACACATTTTGTGTTCTCTTCTTTACAGAAGAGGAAATTGAGGCCCAGGGAGCTAATTTGTCTAAAGCCATATAAGAGCCAGAATCTGAACAATGGTTTCTCTTCAGTTCCAAGGCCTTGTCCCAGGACATTGCACTAAATAAAAACACAATTACCCACTTCCGTTCCAAGTTCCCCCAAGTAATAAATTTACGTTATTTCTTTTCTTTTTTTTCTTTTCTTTCTCTCTCTTTCTTTCTTTTGAGATAGAGTCTCACTCTGTCACTCAGGCTGGAGTGCAGTGGCGTGATCTCCGCTCACTGCAACCTCCACCTCCCGGGTTCAAGCGATTCTCCTGCCTCAGCCTTCCGAGTAGCTGGGATTATAGGTGTGTGCCACCATGGGCAGCCAGGTTTTTTTGTATTTTTAGTACAGACGGGGTTTCACCATGTTGGCCAGGCTGGTCTCCAACTACTAACCTCAAGTGATCCGCCCACCTCGGCCTCCCAAAATGCTGGGATTACAGGCATGAGCCACCGCGCCCGGCCTACAATGTTATTTCTGCAAGAACCTAAACTGGTGTTTCCAGTCTATTCTCTGGGTAACTGCCCGATTGAAGGCCCGCATCTGTGCTGACCTCAGCTGGACCAAGGGTCACTTAACTCCCGGAATCTCGAAGCCAAGGCACCGGGCCAAGAACTTCACAGTGCAACATTTGTCTCCTAGAACAGGGGGTGGCAGATTGCGGGCAACAGGAAGAGCTCATTCCCCACAGGGATCTGGTGGCACGGGCCAAAAGTGGAGCGACCCTGCGCGCAGCCTTTAGGGGCGCAGGCTTTGAGAACCCGGGTTCTATTCCGGGCTCTGCCATTTAAGTTGCCTCCTTTCTCAGGGCCCCACCACCTTCCTCACCTGTAAAATGGGGGAAACAGTAGCACTTGACTTGCAGCTTTGTTGTGAAGGAGCTAGGATTGTTTAAATCGAAAATGCTCAACGAGAAAAGTGTTCAGTGGAGAGCTACTACTCACATCCCCGATAAGCCTTCGCATTCTTGCCAAAGGCCACGGGCCGCCACCCCATCATACCGAATGTGCCTGGAACTGGGGCGCTGCGGCTGGCCGCCGCCCGATCCCCAGCCCAGGCGCGACCCAAGCGCTCCCCTCCCGTCATTGCGGCTACAGAGGGTGGGGTACGGCGGGGGACAGCGAGGACGCCGAAGCACCCCCCCGGGCTCTGGGACGCCGCGGCCCTCGGACCAGAAGCCGCCCACCTACCGGAACACGGCCCGCGCACGTACCTAGCGACGCCTCCGTCCTACGCCGCCGCCGGTGCCACCAGTCCCAGACCCGCTGACCCAACGCCCCGCGCACCGCCGCGGGCCAGCCACGTGACCAGCCGCTCCAACCCCAAACCCCGAACTTGGCGCTGGACCGCTCGAGCTCAGGAAGGTGCACTCTGCGCGCCAGGCTTGGGCTTGGCCCCGCCCCCGGAGGCGCCCAATCAGAGAGCGCAGCCAAGCATGGGCCGCCACCAAACGCACCCGCGCTATTGGCTGCGGCGCAGCGGCGGGCAGGGCCTGTTTCTCCCGGGCGGGCCGGAGGCCGCGTAGTGCAGCTGCGCACCTGGGGCAGGGACCTGCAGAACTGACCCGCTTTGGCTGCAGGGCTGGTGTGTGGACCAAGATTTCCAGGAAGACTACACAGGGCCTTCCTCACTTAAGCCTGTCGCTTGGGCCGTGGGATTATGAGTGAATTTTGTTCATGGTACTACTTTTAGTTTGCAGGGTGGTCATTTAAAGTAGGACAAATGTGCGTCCAAACTGCAACATTATTACTCTGTAGGTGTATAATCCAAGAGCAGACACTTTATTATTATTATTTTTGTTATTTTTTATTTTTATTTTTTTGAGACAGGGTCTCACTCTGTCCCCCAGGTTGAAGTAGAGATGGGGGTCTAACTATGTTGCCTCCCAGGAGGCGGAGGTTGCAGTGAGTCGAGATCGCGCCACTGCACTCCAGCCTGGGGGACGGAGCGAGACAACGTCTCAAGAAGAATAAAATAAGATAAATAAAATACTGACACACAATAAGGACTCAATGAACATTACCTATTGTTAAGAATGATAAAAACCGGGGCCACATGTCAGGACCACCTGAGGCTGCGTCATAAATTTTTTTATTTGTCAAATGATAACAATAATTATTATAAGAATGATAAAAACCGGGCGCAGTGGCTCACCCCTGTAATTCCAGCACTTTGGGAGGCCGAGGCAGATGGCTTGAGCCTAGGAGTTCAAGACCAGCCTGGGCAAAATGGTGAAACCTTGTCTCTACAAATAATTTTAAAATTAGCTGGGTGTGGTGGCAGTCGCCTGTAGTCCCAGCTACTTGGGGGGCTGAATGGGAGGATCACTTGAGCCTGGGAGGCAGAGGTTGCAGTAAGCAATGATCTTGCCTCTGTACTCCAGCCTGGGCAACAGAGTGAGACCCTCATCATCTCGAAAAACAAACAAACAAAAAATACAAAAAAAACTTTTTTTTTTTTTTGAGACAGAGTCTTGCTCTGTCGCCCAGGCTGGAGTGCAGTGGCGCGATCTCGGCTCACTGCAAGCTCCACCTCCCGGGTTCACGTCATTCTCCTGCTTCAGCCTCCTGAGTAGCTGGGACTACAGGCCTCCGCCACCACGCCTGGCTAATTTTTTTTTATTTTTGTAGAGACGGGGTTTCACCATGTTAGCCAGGATGGTCTCGATCTCCTGACCTCGTGATCCGCCCGCCTCGGTCTCCCAAAGTGCTGGGATTACAGGCTTGAGCCACAGCGCCCGGCCGCAATATTTTTTTTAAAGTGATAAAAACCAAGGGGCTGCAACTGGGGAAAGAGCCCAGGTACCTGATCTTTGGTAAATTGCCTTCTCTGAGTCTTATCATCCCCACTTAGAGGATAGACTAATTTTTCAGTCCTCAGAACTTTGTTCCCCTCTCATCGATTTCCAAAATGTTGTAACAAATGTGGCTAGTGTGACAGTTAATGCATGGATTCAAAAGAGATTCAGAAAAGTCCAGGGAGAGATAGTAAGAGTGTAGGGATCTATTAGAAGTTGGAGAGGAAGCAGTTCTTTCTACAAGAGTCATACACACTACAGTACCTATACTCTGAATGATTTTGTCAAATAGCTTTTTGGCCTAGTGACATGCCACCCGCCCCCCCGTCCCCGCCATGGATTTTTGGAATTTAGAACATCAAGCAGGAAGTAGATTCTAAGGACAAATACAAATTAAAGATACTAGGTTTTAGTCTCCCAGTTGAAAATAAGAGATTTTCCTCCCCTCCTTTTTCTTTGAGCATTTACTTTTGAAAACTTGCCATTGTAACTGTTTTCTTCTCTATTTGAAATCTGCGTAAATCTTTTCAACACTAGATAGGCCTTTTGTCAGCTTTATGACCTAGGAATATCTTCCTCAAGGAACTGAAATGTAAACAGCAAGGTAGACAGCACCCATATCTCCCAGTTTCTGTGGGAGGGTAGAAGCCTAATTTTGGGGCCGGGCGCGGTGGCTCATGCCTGTAATCCCACCACTTTGGGAGGCTGAGGCGGGCGGATCACCTGAGGTCAGGAGTTGGTGACCAGCCTCAACATGGAGAAACCCCGTCTCTACTAAAAATACAAAATTAGCCAGGTGTGGTGGTGCATGCCTGTAATTCCAGCTACTCGGGAGGCTGAGGCAGGAGAATTGCCTGAACCTGGGAGGCGGAGGTTGCGGTGAGCCAAGATGGCGCCATTGCACTCCAGCCTGGGCAACAAGAGCGAAACTCCGTCTCAAAAAAAAAAGAAGCCTAATTTTGGTGGGCTTCCTGCCCCAAATTGCAAAACCACTTCCTGTCATAAAGATATGAAAAGTTTGCTTTTCCTCTAGATAAAGCCAAATAGGATGAACTATATGGGAGAAAGTGTGCTGTCAAGTCCTCTTATTTGAGGACTAATTATGGTTTATTTTGGAAAATATGTATGTACTGAGTTCTATCTGCTTGGCTATATAAGGGGGTGAGATTTCTTTCTGTCTGCAATTTCTTAGCAGATTGCCTGTGATGTGTTTCACTTTCTGGCTTAATGTTTTATACAATACTAAAGTGTTTTCTTTTTCACTAGCTTTGTGAAGAACACTTCTGGATTGGGAGAAAATTTTGTTTTAAATTATATTTTTCGGCCGGGCATGGTGGCTCATGCCTGTAATCCCAGCACTTTGGGAGACCGAGGTGGGTGGATCACCTGAGGTCGGGAGTTTGAAACCAGCCTGACCAACACAGAGAAACCCCGTCTCTGCTAAAAATACAAAATTAGCCGGGCATTGTGGCGTGCGCCTGTAATCCCAGCTACTCGGGAGGCTGAGGCAGGAGAATCACTTGAACCTGAGAGGCAGAGGTTGCAGTGAGCCGAGATCACACCACTGCACTCCAGCCTGGGGCCGGGCGCGGTGGCTCACGCCTGTAATCCCAGCACTTTGGGAGATCAAGGCGGGTGGATCACGAGGTCAGGAGATCGAGACCAGCCTGGCCAATATGGTAAAACCCCATCTCTACTAAAAATACAAAAAAATTAGCTGGGCATGGTGGCACATGCCTGTAATCCCAGCTACTTGGGAGGCTGAGGCAGGACAATTGCTTGAACCTGGGAGGCGGAGGTTGCAGTGAGCCAAGATCGCGCCACTAGACTCCAGCCTGGGTGACAGAGCGAGACTCCGTCTCAAAAAAAAAGAAAGAAAGAAAGAAAGAAAAAATACCCAGGCCTGGTGGTGGGTGGCTGCAGTCCCAGCTACTCAGGAGGCTGAGGCAGGAGAATTGCTTGAATCCAGGAGGCGGAAGTTGCAGTGAGCTGAGATGGAGCCACTGCACTCCAGCCTGGGCAACAGAGTGAGACTCCATCTCAAAAAAAAAAACAAAAAAAAACAGTATATTTTTCTGGCCAGGTGCAGTGGCTGATGCCTGTAATCCCAGCACTTTGGGAGGCCAAGGCAGGCTGATCACCTGAGGTCAGGAGTTTGAGACCAGCCTGACCAACATGGTGAAACCTGATCTCTACTAAAAATACAAAATTAGGTCGGGCTCAGTGGCTCACGCCTGTAATCCCAGCACTTTGGGAGGCTGAGGTGGGTGGATCACGTGAGGTCAGGTTAGTGACCAGCCTGGCTAACACGGCGGAATCCTCTCCACTAAAAATACAAAAATTAGCCAAGTGTGGCGGCTCAAGCCTGTAATCCCAGATACATGGGAGGCTGAGGCGGGAGAATCGCTTGAACCCGGGAGGCGGAGGTCGCCATGGGCCGAGATCACGCCATTGCACTCCAGCCTGGGGAGCAAGAGTGAAACTCCATCTCAAAAAAAAAAAAATACTGTCAACACCAAATGCTGGCAGATTTGTAACAAGACTGGATATAACATAACATACATTGCTGGTGGAGACGTAAAACGTAGAGCCACTCTGGAAAATAGTTTGTCAGTGACAACAAACTAAGCACTTTCCATAGGACCCAGCAATTGCACTGCTGGGCACTTATCCCAGAGAATAGAAAAGTTATGTCCACACAATCTGTACATGAATGTTCACAATAATGTTATTTGTAATAACCAAAAACTAGAAATATTAGAAATGTCCTTCAGCAAATAAATGGTTAAACTATGGTATATCCAGACATGGAATACTAGTTAACAATAAAAGGAAATGAGCTATTGATACATACAACTTGGATGGATCTTTTTTTTTTTTTTTTTTGAGATGGAGTCTCGCTGTGTCACCCAGGCTGGAGTGCAGTGGCACAATCTCAGCTCACTGCAACCTCTGTCTGCCAGGTTCAAGCAATTCTCCTGCCTCAGCCTCCTGAGTAGCTGGGACTACAGGAGCATGTCGCCATGCCTGGCTAATCTTTTGTATTTTGGTGGAGACGGGGTTTCACCAGGTTGCCCAGGCTGGTCGCGAACTCCTGAGCTCAGGCAATCCACCCACCTCGGCCTCCCAAAGTGCTGGGATTACAGGCATGAGCTACCACGCCTGGCTAGGAGGATCTTTTTATATGTGTGTGTGTGTGTGTGTGTGTGATTTCTTGGTATATCCTAATTGGATGGATCTTAAGGGAATTATGCTGCATGAAAAAAAAAGGCAAGTCAGGCTAGGCGTGGTGGCTCACACCTGTAATCCCAGCATTTTGGGAGGCTGAGGCGGACGGATCACCTGAGGCCAGAAGTTTGAGACCAGCCTGGCCAACATGGTGAAACCCCACCTCTACTAAAAATATAAAAATTAGCCAGGTGTGGTGGCCGGCACCTGTAATCCCAGCTACTCGGGAGGCTGAGACAGGAGAATCGCTGGAACCCGGGAGGTGGACGTTGCAGTGAGCTAAGATCACACCACTGCACTCCAGTCTGGACAACAGAGTAAGACTCCATCTCGAATAAAAAAAAAAAAAAGGCAATCTCAAAAGGTTACAGACTATGATTTGATTCCATTTATATAACATTCTTGAAATGACATAATTACAGAAATGGAGAACAAATTACTCATTGTCAGGAATTAGGGATGGTGTGGAGCAGGGTTATGTCTATAAAGGGGTGAGGGCCTGGCGTGGTGACGCATACCTGTAATCCCAGTGCTTTGGGAGGCTGAGATTCGAGGATCACTTGAGGCCAGGACTTTGAGACCAGCCTGGGCAACATGGCAAGACCTTGTCTCTACAAAAAATTGAAAAACTTGGCCGGGCACAGTGGCTCATGACTGTAATCCCAGCACTTTGGGAGGCCAAGGCGGGCGGATCATGAGGTCAGGAGATCGAGACCATCGTGGCTAACACGGTGAAACCCTGTCTCTACTAAAAAATACAAAAAATTAGCCGGGTGTGGTGGCAGGCCCCTGTGGTCCCAGCTCGGGAGGCTGAGGCAGGAGAATGGTGTGAACCTGGGAGGTGGAGCTTGCAGTGAGCCGAGATCGTGCCACTGCACTCCAGCCTGGGCAACAGAGCAAGACTCCGTCTCAAAAAAAAAATTGAAAAAATTATCCAGGCCTGGTGGTGCATGCATGTCTGTAGTCCCAGCTATTCTGGAGGCTTAGGTGGGAGGATCACATTAGTCCAGGAGTTCAAGGCTGCAGTGAACTATCATTGTGCTGCTGCACTCCAGCCTGGGCAGCAGAGTGAGGCTCTGTCTCTAAAACTTACTAATAAAATAAATAAAAGGCGAAAGAGATCTTTGTGGAACAGTTTTGTATCTTGATTGCAATGGTGAGTACATGAATCAACATGTGATAAAATGGCATAAAACCATATACACATATTTCATTAATGTAAATTTCATGGTTTGATATTGTACTATAGCTATGGAAAACGTAGCCATGGGAGGAACTGTGTGAAGAGCACACAGGAATTCTCTGTGCTGTGTGCAGTTTCCTGTGAATATAAAATTATTTTGAAATTAAAGGCCAGGCGTGGTGGCTTTGGCTGGGTGTGGTGGCTCATGCTTGTAATCCCAACAGTTTGGGAGGCCAAGGCAGGCAGATCACTTGAGGTCAGGAATTCAAGACCAGCCTGACCAACATGGCAAAACCCCGTCTCTACTAAAAATACAAAAATTAGCCGGGTGTGGTGGCATATGCCTGTAGTCCCAGCTACTCTGGAGGCTGAGGCATGAGAATCACTTGAACCCAGGAGGCAGAGATTACAGTGAGCCCAGATCATGCCACTGCACTCCAGCCTGGGTGACTAAGTGAGACTCTGTCAAAAAAAAAATGTATATATATATATATTCTCTCACAGTTCTGGAGGCTCAAAGTCAGGAATCAAACTGTTGGCAAGGTCATTTGAAGCCTGGAAGGGGGGATCGTTTCTTGACTCCTCCAGCATCTGGAGGCTACTGGCCATCCTGGTGTTACTAAAACACCAGGGGTTCCGTCTAGGGCCTGCCACTCACCTCACAGAAAGCCAATCACTGAGACAATGATTATTGCCAAGGAAGAAGGCTTTAATAAGGTGCTGCAGCTGAGGGGATGGGAGGTATTTATCCCAGGAATGAAGGGGGTGGTTCAACATAAGAAAATCAATTAATGTAATATACCACATTAGTAGAACAAAGGGAAAAAAACAGTCATTCCAGCTGACACAGAAAAAGCATCTAAGAAATTCTAACATTTCACGATTAAAACATACATAAAACTATGAAACGAGAGGAATTGCCTCAACATTATAAGAGATATTTGTGAAAAACCCACAGTTATCATCATACTTAATGGCAAAAGACTAAAAGCTTTCCCCCTAAGATCAGGAAGAAGACACAGAGGTTCACTTTTACCACTGCTAGTCAACACTTTACTAGAAGTTGTAGCCAAAGCCTTTAGGTAAGAAAAAGCAATAAGAGGCACCAAATTGGGAAAGAAGAAATAAAACTATCTCTCTAAATATAGAAAATCCCAAGGAATACTCACACAAAAATTACTAGAGCTAATAAGCAAATTCAGCAAAGTTTCAGAACACAAGATCAACTCACAAAAACCAGTTGTTGTTTTTTGTTGTTGACATTTTTTTTTTTTTTAGGAGTTTTGGTTTTTTTGCCCAGGCTAGAGTGCAATGGCTGGATCTTGGCTCACTGCAACCTCGGCCTCCCGGGTTCAAGTGATTCTCCAGCCTCAGCCTCCCAAGTAGCTGGGATTACAGGTGCCCACCACCACGTTTGGCTAATTTTTGTATTTTTAGTAGAGATGGGGTTTCACCATGTTGGCCAGGCTGGTCTCAAATTCCTGAGCTCAGGTGTTCCGCCCGCCTCGGCCTCCCAAAGTGCTGATGATAGACATGAGTCACCGTGCCTGGTCCAGTTGTGTTTTTATACACTAGCAAGGAACAATTCAAAAATATAATTAAGAAATCCGCGGCTGGGTGCGGTGGCTCACGCCTGTAATCCCAGCACTTTGGGAGGCTGAGGAGGGCGGATCATGAGATCAGGAGATCGAGACCAACCTGGCTAACACAGTGAAACCCTGTCTCTACTAAAAAATACAAAAAAAAAAAATAGCTGGGTGTGGTGTTGAGCGCCTGTAGTCCCAGCTACTTGGGAGGCTGAGGCAGGAGAATGGCATGAACCCGGGAGGCGGAGCTTGCAGTGAGCTGAGATCTCATCACTGCACTCCAGCCTGGGTGACTGAGCGAGACTCCATCTCAAAAAAAAAAGAAAAAAGAAAACCGCTGGGCGTGGTGGCTCACGCCTGTAGTCCCACCACTTTGAGAGGCTTAGGTGGGTGGATCCCTTGAGCCCAGGAGTTCAACACCAGCCTGGGCAATGTGGTGAAGCCCCTTCCCTACAAAAAAAAACATAAAAAATTAGCCTGGTGTGATGGCATGTGCCTGTGATCCCAGCTGTTCAGGAAGCTGACGTGGGAGGATCACCTGAGCCCTGGAGGTCAGGGCTGCAGTGAGCCGTCATGCATCATTGCACTCCAGCCTAAAAAAGTTGTGAAATTCTGCAATATGTTACAACATGAATGAACCTTGAAAAGAAATATAAGTGAAGTAAGCCAGATACAAAAAGACAATATTGCATGTTTCCACTTTTAGAGGTACCTACAAGAATCAAATTCATAGAGACAGAAAGTAGAATAGTGGTTAAAAGGGTCTGGGCAGAGGGAGGGAAGGGAAGTTTGTTTTATGGGTTAGAGTTTCAGTTTGCGATGTCGAAAAAGTTCTGGAGATAAATAATGGTGATGGTTACGTGCCAATGGCTACATGAATGTACTTAATGCCACTGAATTGTATATGTGAAAAATGGTTAAGATGGTATATTTTATGTCTATTGTATACTATCTCCCCTAAAAAAATTGTTTTTAAGAGTCAAGATCTCACAGTCTCCCACGCTGGGGTGCAGTGGGGCGATCAAAGCTCACTGCAGCTTCGGACTCAGCCAGCTTCCCTGGCTCAAGGGATCATCCTGTTCACCCTCCCCAGTAGCTGGGACTACAGGCGGTGCCCCCACGCCCAGCTCATTTTTTATTTTTTATTTTTCCCCCCTTGGTAGAGACGGGATTCTGCTATATTGCCTAGGCTAGTCTTGAACTCATAGAACAAAGTATCCTCTCGCCTGGACCGCGGCGTGGGCTCTCAAAACACCAGGATCACCGGATTACAGGACACCAGGAGCAAACGCTTCCCGCTTTAAAAATTCAGGTTGTGATTGGCTGTCATTCCGTATTATGCTAATTTAGCATGCTTGCTTTTAAACTTTTTAAATTAAAACAATTTTTAAAATTACGTTTCCACTTAAAACGTTAAAATGTGTTCTTAAGTGATAGTATTCGAAAAGATGTTATTGCTAATATATCTTCCTATTTATTTCCTAAGGGAATCAGAAGCAGCGAAACTATCTCGCCATCAGTTCAAAGTGCACGGCGGATGTGGACCCAACACAGGCTAGGATTACAAAATTAAGACTATACTTCCGGATATCACTTCTATAGTTTGTTACTAGAGAAGTTTTTCTGAACGTGTAGAGCACGGGAAAGCACAAGGGAGAAATGTAGTTTTTTTTTCTGAGCGTGAAAATGGTTTTTTGTTGTTGCTTTCATTGCAAGTACGATTTGCCATTGACGATCGTTCTTACTGTTCTCTTTGGAGGGTAAGAGGAAGAGAACGCGGTCTGAGTGGGTTTCTTGCTTTTAATGGTTTAACAGAAGAAGGTGGTTTGGTTACATTGGTTTTAATTATTCGTATTGGTAATGAGTTCTTTAATCATACTTAAGTGCTATACTGTTTTAGTGTGGTATTTTGTCTTGATCCTGTTTTTTTTTTTTTATTTGAGAGAGAATCTTGCTGTGTTTCCCAGCATTGAGTGTAATGGCGGCATCTCGGCTCATTGCAAGCTCCGCCTCCCGGGTTCATGCCATTTTCGTGCCTCATCCTCCCAAGTACTACCTGGGACTGTTGGCGCGTGCCACCACGCCCGGCTAATTTTTTTTATTTGTATTTTTAGTAGAGACGGGGTTTCACCGTGTTAGCCAGGATGGTCTCCATCTCCTGACCTCGTGATCCGCCAGCCTCGGCCTTCCAAAGTGCTGGGATTACAGGCGAGAGTCACTTCGTCCGGCCTCGATTCAATCAATCTTTACAGACGGGATGCTATGATGTGTTGTACCTTTTTTTCCCGTATTTTTTTCCCCTCCTTGCTACCTCCTCCTGCCCCCGATTTTTCTTAACTTACCATTTTTGGATACGGTAGCTGTCTGAGTTTCCCCAATTCGAAACGTTTTCTGTTTCTGCGTTTTGAGCAATGGGAGACAGCCAACGGTGTAGGTGGCTCTCTTTAAAGAGAGTTATAAAGGAAAGCAATTTAGTATTCACCTAACTACTCTTGGGTGCTATGCTTATTTCTGTGTTTCTTTAGTAAAATGAAATCTTACATCAGCTTTTTTCTTTTCTTTTTTTTCTTTTCTTTTTGAGACAGAGTCTCGCTCTGTCCACCCAGGCTGGAGTGCAATGGCGCGATCTCGGCTCACTGTAACCTCTGCCTCCCTGGTTCAAGCAATTCTCATGCCTCAGCCTCCCGGGTAGCTGGGACTACAGGCGCCCTGCCACCACGCCCGGCTAATTTTTTTGTATTTTTAGTAGAGATGGGGTTTCACCATGTTGGCCAGGCTGGTCTGGAACTCCTGACCTCAGGTGATCCGCCTGCGGCGCCGGTCCCCCAAATATATATCTTTTTAAACTTTGCTAATCTGCCTTTACAAAAGGGATATATAGGCCGGGTGCGGTGGCTCACGCCCGTAATCCCAGCACTTTGGGAGGCAGAGGCGTCATTGCACTCAGCCTGGGCTACAGAGTAAGACTCCATCTCAAAAACAAACAAACAAAAAAAACCCGGATATATAATAACTTGCTTTTCCCATTTAACAGTGCATGTCTGTCTCTAGGCCAACTGATAGAGATCCAAGTTATTCATTTGAACAGGTGCTTAACACTCTGTCATTTGTATGTAACCATAATTTCTTCATCCATACCTGTACAGAAGGATAATATTTATTATTACTTTGCAGTTTTTCCCACTAGAAACAAGGCTTTGATAAAATACCTTGTAATATATATTTACATAATGAGTTTTGTGTTGTTTTGTTTTTTTGAGATGGAGTCTCCTGTCACCCAGGCTGGAGTGCAATGGCACGGTCTTGGCTCACTGCAACCTCCTCCTCCTGGGTTCAAGTGATTCTCCTGCTTCAACCCCGAGTAGCTAGGATTACAGGCACACGCCACCACGTCTGGCTAATTTTTTTTTTTTTTGAGACGGAGTCTCCCTCTCTTGCCCAGGCTGGAGTGCTGTGGCGCGATCTAGGCCCACTGCGAGCTCTGCCTCCTGGGTTCATGCCATTCTCCTGCCTCAGCCTCCCGAGTAGCTGGGACTACAGGAGCCCACCACCACGCCTGGCTAATTTTTTGTATTTTCAGTAGAGACAGGGTTTCACCATGTTAGCCAGGATGGTCTTGATCTCCTGACCTTGTGATCCACCTGCCTCAGCCTGCCAAAGTGCTAGGATTACAGGCGTGAGCCACCACACCCGGCTAATTTTTGTATGTTTAGTAGAGATAGGGTTTCACCATATTGGCTAGGCTGGTCTTGAACTCCTGATCTCAAGTGATCCATCCTCCTCGGCCTCCCAAAGTGCTGGGATAACAGGCAAGAGCCACTGCGCCTGGCCAACATAGTGAGTGTTTTTGTTTTTTGTTTTTGTTTTATTTATTTATTTATTTGAGATGGAGTCTCGCTCTGTCACCCAGGCTGGAGTGCAGTGATGCGATCTTGGCTCCCTGCAACCTCTGCCTCTCTGGTTCAAGCAATTCTCCTGCATCGGCTTCCCGAGTAGCTGGGACTACAGGCGTGCACCACCATGCCCAGCTAATTGTTCTTTTTGTTTGTTTGTTTGAGACGGAGTCTCGCTCTGTCGCCCAGGCGTGAGTGCAGTGGCTCGATCTTCGCTCACTGCAATCTCCACCTCCCAGGTTCACGCCGTTCTCCTGCCTCAGCCTCCCGAGTAGCTGGGACTACAGGCGCCCGCCACCATGTCCGGCTAATTTTTTATATTTTTAGTAGAGACAGGGTTTCACTGTGTTAGCCAGGATGGTCTCGATCTCCTGACCTCTGATCCGCCTGCCTCGGCCTCCCAAAGTGCTGGGATTACAGGCGTGAGCCACCGCGCCCGGCCGTGCACAGCTAATTTTTGTATTTTTCTCACAGACAGGGATTCGCCATGTCAGCCAGGCTGGTCTCGAACTCCTGACCTCAGGTGATTCACCTGCCTCGGCTTCCCAAAGTGCTGGGATTACAGGCACAAGCCACCGCGCCCGGCCTGTTGTTTGTTTTTTTGAGACGGAGCCTCTCTCTGTTGCCCAGGCTGAGGTGCAATAGTGTGATCTCGGCTCACTGCAGCTTCCGCCTCCCGGGTTCAAGCAGTTCTCCCACCTCAGCCTCCCAAGTAGCTGCGACTACAGGCGTGCGCCACTACGCCCTGCTAATTTTTGTATTTTTAGTAGAGACGAGGTTTCACTATGTTGGTCAGGCTGGTCTCGAACTCTTGACCTCAGATGATCTGCTCGCTTCAGCCTCCCAAAGTGGTGGGATTACAGGCATAATAAGCCACTGTGCCCAACCCGTGAGTTTTTAATATCCAAAGTAAGATTTCTGGGTCAAGCTTTTAGTAAATATTGCCATATTGCTTTCTACAAGCATTGTAACAATTCACACTCCCAGCAACAATTTAGGGAAATACCCATTTCCCATTTCTTCTCCAGCACTGAATGCTTCATTTTTTATTTTTTTATTTTTTTTAGATAGAGTCTCTGTTGCCCAGGCTGGAGTGCAGTGGCGTGATCTTGGCTCACTGCAATCTCTGCTTCCTGGGTTCAAGTGATTCTCCTTCTTCAGCCTCTCGAGTAGCTGGGGTTACAGGCATGCACCATGACACCTGGCTTTTTTTTTTTTTTTTTTTTTTTTTTTGTATTTTTAGTAGAGACGGGGTTTTGCCATGTTGGCCAGGCTGGTCTCAAACTCCTGACCTCAAGTGATCCACCTGCCTCAGCTTCCCAAACTGCTGGGATTACAGGCATGAGCTACTGTGCCCGGCCTACTGATACTTAAATTTTTTTTTTTTTTTTTTTTTTTTTTGAGATGGAGTCTTGCTCTGTCTCCAGGCTGGAGTGCAGTGGCACAATCTTGGCTCACTGCAACCTCTGCCTCCCAGGTTCAAGCAATTCTCCTGCTTCAGCCTCCTGAGTAGCTGGGACTACAGGCACCCACCACCACGTCTGGCTAATTTTTGTATTTTTAGTAGAGATGAGGTTTCACCATTTTGGCCAGGATGGTCTCGATCTCCTGACCTCATGATCCACACGCCTTGGCCTCCCAAAGTGCTGGGATTACAGGCGTGAGCCACCGCGCCCAGCTAAAAAATATTTTATTTGTGGCTGGGCATGGTGACTCAGGCTCACACCTGTAATCTTAGAACTTTGGGAGGCTGAGGTAGGAGGATTGCTTGAGGCCAGGAGTTCAAGAGTAGCCTGGGCAACATAGCAAGATCCCATCTCTATGAAAAATTAAAATTAAAAAAATTATGACATTTTGTGCTACATGATGAAAAAAATTAAAAAGAAAGAAAGAAAATTGGCCAGGTGTGGAAGTGCACACCTGTATTCCCAACTAGTCAGGGTGCTGAGTGGGGAGGATCTCCTGAGCCCAGGAGTTCAAGGCTGCAGTGAGCTGTGATCGTGCCACTGCTCTCCAGCCTAAGATACGGGAAAAACCAAAGCGTTTTTCTTTTCTTTTTTTTCTGCTGTCATCGTATGAAATAGTCTATAGGTTTCCATTATATCCAGTTATAGAGGGTGTTACTGAGTTACAGATTTTCTGCCTGCTGGATCTGTCCGTTTCTGATAGAGGGACATTGAAGTCGCCAACTATAATAGTTTCTCCTTGCAGCGCTGTCACTTTTTCAGTCACATATTTTGATGTTCTGTTGTCAGGATCATACATGTTAAGGACTGTTATGTCTTCTTTGAGCATTGACTCCTTAATCATTATGTAATGACCTGTCCTTATCCCTCACAACTTTCTTTTCTTTCCCTTCCTTCCTTCCTTCCTTTTTCTTTTTCTTTTCTTTTCTTTCTTTTTTTTTTTTTTTTTTTGAGACAGAGTCTCTGTCAACCAGACTGGAGTACAGTGGCATGATCTCAGCTTACTGCAGCCTCTGCCTCCCAGGCTCAAGTGAGTCTCGTGCCTCAGCCTGAGGAGTAGCTGGGATTACAGTCGAGTGCAACCATGCCCAGCTAATTTTTGTATTTTTAGTAAAGACAGGGTTTTGTCATGTTGGCCAGGCTTGTCTTGAATTCCTGGCCTCAAGTGATCTGCCCGCCTTGGCTTCCCAAAGTGCTGGGAAGCCACCCAGCACCTGTCCTGTTCCTGATGACTTTCCTTGCCCTGAAGCCTGTACTGTCTGAAATTAATATAGGGACTCCTGCTTCCTTTTGATTAGTGTTGGCATAGTAGATCTTTCTTTATCCATTTACTTTTAATATATACATCTTTAAAGTGTAGTTCTTACAAGGAGCATATAGTTGCATCTTGTTTTTTGCTGTACTCTGACAATCTCTCTCTTTTTTTCTTTTTTTTTTTTGAGATGGAGTCTTGCTCTGTTGCCCAGGCTGGAGCGCAGTGGCATGATCTCAGCTCACTGCAACCTCTGCCTCCTGGGTTCACGCCTTTCTCCTGCCTCACCCTCCCAAGTAGCTGGGACTACAGGCGCCCGCCACCACGCCCAGCTAATATTTTGTATTTTTAGTAGAGACAGGGTTTCACCATGTTAGACAGGATGGTCTCAATCTCCTGACCTCGTGATCCGCCCACCTTGGCCTCCCAAAGTGCTGGGATTACAGGCGTGAGCCACTTCGCCCAGCCCAATCTCTCTCTTTTAATCGGTTAATTTGGACCATTGATATGCAAAGGAATTGTTGATATAATTGGATTAATATCTGCCTTTTTTTTTTTTACTGTTTTCTAATTGTTGCTTTTGTTTCTTTGTTTGTATTTTTGTCTTCCATTCTTTTTCTGCCTCTTGTAGTGTTTTGTCTTTGTGTTTTTCTTTCTTTTTTTTTTCTTTTGAGACAAAGTCTTGCTCTGTCACCCAGGCTGGAGTGCAGTGGCACAATCATGGTTTATCGCAGCCTCAAGCTGCTGGGCTCAAGCAATCCTACCATCTTGGCCTCCCGAGTAGCTGGGACCACAGGTATGCACCACCGTGCCTGGCTAATTTTTTTTAATTTAATTTTTTGTAGAGACAGAGTCTACGATGTTGCCCAGGCTGGTCTCAAACTCCTGGGCTCAAGTGATCCTTCTGCCTCAGCCTCTCAAGTAGCTGGGACTACAGTCACATACCACCACGCCTGGCTAATTTTTTATTTTCTGTAGAGATAGAGATGGGATTTTGCAATGTTGCTCAGGCTGGTCTCAAGCTCCTGGCCTCAAGCAATCCTCCCGTCTCAGCCTCCCAAAGCACTGGGATTACAGGCATGAACCACTATGCCCAGCCATAAATAAAATATGTTTTAGAGTGTCTGTGTCCACTGATAAGGGCGTAGTCATTTCTTCCCTCGCCGGCTCCTGTAAGTGCTGAGGATTCCACTGCACTGACCCCGGTTGTGCCCTCGGGGAATGTTGAGTCCTAGCAGATGTTAAACAACATATGACACACCTAAGCATTTCACTGGACTTACACTACACAGGTGGCTGTTAGTTTGATTTTCTTTCTTTCTTTTTTTCTTTTTGAGAAAGTCTCGATCTGTCACCCGGGCTGGAGTGCAGTGGCACGATCTCGGCTCACTGTAACCCCTGCCCCCCCAGGTTCAAGCAATTATCATGCCTCAGCCTCCCGAGTAGCTGGGATTACAGGCGCCCACCACCACGCCCGGCTAATTTTTTTGTATTTTTAGTAGAGACGGGGTTTCACCATGTTGGCCAGGCTGGTCTTGAACTCCTGACCTCATGATCCACCTGCCTCAGCCTCCCAAAGTGCTGGGATTACAGGCGTGAGCCACCGTGCCTGGCCAATTTTCTTCTGACTTTATGTCTCTCACCCCTGCCTCTCAGAGCAAAAGGTTTTCTGCTTACCTTTGCTGCCCATGAGCTTTGGGCTGCTGGGATAAAAGAAGGCGCCACTGAAAAGGAAAGTTTTCCTGCTCTTATAAAAATTCTAATATAACCCACTTAAGGTGAAGAGGTTGATGATGATGAGAGTAAGGAGAGCAGGCAAAGCTTTCTCAGGATGGAGAGAAGATGGGGTACCAGGATTAGATTCTCAACCTATTAGGAAAAAAAACCCCAAAAAACCAGTGATTTATAAAATAGAAGAGTTTATTTCTCTCTCCCATAACACAATCTGGGGGTAGACACTCCAAGACTGGTCTTGGACCTTGACCTTCCTCCCATCAAAAGGTAGACTCCAATGCCACACTCGGTAAGGGCTGGTTTGGTGACAGGCTCCTAAGACATGGAATGAGGCTGGTGGGCACAGTGGTTCATGCCTGTAATCCCAGCACTTTGGGAGGCCGAGGCAGGCAGATCACTTGAGGTCAGGAGTTCAAAACCAGCCTGGCCAACAAGGTGAAACCCTGTCTCTACCAAAAATACAAAAATTAGCCAGGTGTGGTGGCACACGGCTGTAGTCCTAGCTACTCAGGAGGCTGAGGCAGAAGAATTGCTTGAACCCAGGAGGCAGAGGTTGCAGTAAGCTGAGATCGTGCCACTGCACTCCAGCCTGGGCAACAGAGTGAGACCCTGTCTCAAACAGACAAACAAACATCAAACAAACACAAAGAAATGGAATGCGGCCGGGTGTGATGGCGCACGCCTGTAATCCCAGGAGGCTGAGGCATGTGTATCCTTTGTGCTCAGGACTTTGAGACCAGCCTGGGCAACATGGTGAGACCCTGTCTCTACAAAAAATACAAAAATCAGCCAGGCATGATGGAGCATGCCTACATTTTCAGCTACTTGGGAGGCTGAGGTGGGAGGACCTCTTGAATCTGGGAAGTTGAGGCTGCAGTGAGCCAAGATTGCACCCCTGCATTTCAGCCTGGGCAACAGAGTGAGACCCTGCCTTTTAAAATAAATTTTAAAATAAAAAAATTTTAAATAAAGAAACAAGGAAGTTGATTTTTATACACTGTGTAAGATAAGGATCCAATTTCTTCTGCATGTGGGTATACAATTTTACCAATACTGTTGATTAAAGTGGCTGTTTTTTTCCCTCTTTGTACCTGAAGAGACTGTCCTTGTCCCCTTTGTCAGAAATCAGTTGGCCATAATTGTGTGGGTTTATTTCTGGGAGAGTGAGACCCTGTCTTGAAAGAAAGAGAGAAAGAGAAAGGAAAAAAGGAAAGAAAGAAAGAGAAAGACAGGAAGAAAGGAAGGAAGGAAGGAGAAGGGGAAGGAAGGAAGGATAAGGGGAAGGAAGGAAAAGGAAGGAAGGAAGGGAGGGAGGGAGGGAGCCGGGCGCGGTGGCTGATGCCTGTAATCCCAGCACTTTGAGAGTCCGAGGTGGGCAGATCATGAGGTCAGGAGTTTGAGACCAGCCTGACCAATATGGTGAAACCTCGTCTCTACTGAAAATACAAAAATTAGCTGGGCGTCGTGGTGCATGCCTGTAATCCCATGTACTCAGGAGACTGAGACAGGAGAATCGTTTGAACCCAGGAGGCGGAGGTTGCAGTGAGCCGAGATCATGCCATTGCACTCCAGCCTGGGCAACAGAGTGAGACTCCATCTCAAAAAAGAGACAGAGAGAGAAAGGAAGAAGGAGGAGGAGGAGGAGGAGAAAGAAGAGAAGAGAAAAGGAAAAGAAAGAAATGGAATGCAACAGAAGTGACACTGTGTGAACTTCAAGGCTAGGTCATGAGCAGTGTCCACTCTCTCTGGAAAACTCACTCTTGGAACCCTGCCACCATCCTGTGAGGAGGGCCAGTCCACACACAGAGGCTACCTGAAAGCCCCACTGAGGTCTCAGCTGACAGACAGCACCGGCCATCAGACATGGGAGTGGTCTTCACCTGTGGTCTCCGTCTCCACCCTCCATCTGACAGTAACCACAAGAAAGACCCAAGGCAAACACCATTTAGCTAGCCGAGGCAATCACCAGAACCAAGAGACATAATAAACAATTAATGATAGTTTCATACCATGTTATGACTCAGCGACATTTCTAAAGAAAAAAAAATCCGTTAAGTTTGGGGTGGTTCATTAAGCGTCAACAGATAACACATGTGTTCTACCCTGTCTCCCAGAATTCCTCAACAGGATTAAGACCCAGTTACCTGTAGCAGTAATTTACTTGATAACAATGCTGTTGGTGACTATTTTCCCCATCCTACTCCCTTGTCACTGTTTCTCAAGATCATCTCCCAAGGCCACAGGCAGTGGCTCACGCCTGTAATCCCAGCACTTTGGGAGGCCAAGGTGGGTGGATCACCTGAGGCCAGGAGTTGGAGACCAGCTTGGTCAACATGGTAAGACCCTGTCTCTATTAAAAATACAAAAATTAGCCAAACGTGGTGGTGCGTGCCTGTAATCCCAACTACTTAAGAGGCTGAGGCAGGAGAATCTCTTAAATTCAGGAGGCAGAGGTTACAGTGAGCCGAGATCGCACCACTGCACTCCAGCCTGGGTGACAGAGTGAGACTCCTCAAAAACAAAACAAAACAAACAAACAAAAAAGATCATCTCCCAAATAAACTACTTGTATCAAATTACTAATTCAGGGTATGCCACTGGAGAACCCACTTAAAAGCAGTGTGATAATTAAGAGCAGGAACTCAGTGGCCAAGGTGAGTCAGTTCAGAACCCAATTCTAACATACATTAGCTATTGATGGTGGTAAGTTGCTTAATGTCCCTCCATTTCAGTTTGCTCATGTGTAAAATATGAATAAATGGACCTACCTCACTGGGTTCTTGTAAGTTTGAATGAATTAACATGTGTAAAGTGTTTAAAACAGTTTCAGACACATAGCAGAGTAAATGTGTTCTGTAAATATACAAACAAACAAACCTGTTTTAAATAATAAAGATAATTTATTGCCTCAGGTAACTGGAAAATTCTAGTTGTTATCACTGGAATTCAGGAATTGCTTGATCAGGGCTTCGACTCCATTTTGGAACTGTTCTTTCAACTCTGCCCTCCCCCATGGGTTGGCTTCATACTTGGACTGGATTCTTTGTGGTAAGAAAAAGTAGGGGCTGGGTGTGCACAGTGGCTCACACCTGTAATCCCAGCACTTTGGGAGGCAGAGACAGGTGGATCACCTAAGGTCAGAAGTTCGAGACTAGCTTGACCAACATGGTGAAACCCCATCTCTACTAAATATACAAAAATTAGCCAGTGTGGTGGCAGATGCCTGTAATCACAGCTACTCAGGAGGCTGAGGCAGGAGAATTACTTAAACCCAGGAGGCAGAGGTTGCAGTGAGCCAAGATTGTACCATTGCACTCCAGCCTGGGTGACAAGAGCAAGACTCCATTTCAAAAAAAAAAGAAAGAAAAAGTAGGGGCAGGGCTGGCCTCGTTGCTCATGCCTGTAATCCCAGCACTTTGGAAGGTTGAGGTGGGCAGATCACGTGAGATCAGGAGTTCGAGACCAGCATGGCCAAGATGGCAAAAACCTGTTTCTACTAAAAACACAAAAATTAGCTGGGCAGTGGCTGGTGTCTGTAATCCCAGCTACTTGGGAGGCCCAGGCAGGAGAATTGCTTGAACCTAGAAGGTGGTGACTGCAGTGAGCCGAGATAGCACCACTGCACTCCAACATGGGCAACAGATACTCCATCTCAAAAAAAAAAAAAAAAAAAAAAGGCCGGGCGTGGTGAGTCATGCCTGTAATCTCAGCACTTTGGGAGACAGAGGTGGGTGGATCATTTGAGGTCAGGAGTTTGAAACCAACCTGGCCAACATGGTGAATCCCCATCTCTACTAAAAAATACAAAAATTGGCCGGGTGCTGTGGCTCATGCCTGTAATCCCAGCACTTTGGAAGGCCGAGGTGGGCGGATCACGAGGTCAGGAGATTGAGACTATCCTGTCTAACACGGTGAAACCCCGTCTCTACTAAAAATACAAAAAATTAGCCGGGCATGGTGGCGGGCGCCTGTAGTCCCAGCTACTTGGGAGGCTGAGGCAGGAGAATGATGTGAACCCGGGAGGTGGAGCTTGCAGTGAGCCGAGATTGCGCCACTGCACTCCAGCCTGGGAGACAGAGTGAGACTCCATCTCACAAAAAAAAAAAAAAAAAAAAAAAAAAAAATTCTTAAAAGCTCAATAAGGAGATAACAAAAAAACAAACCTTAAAAAATTCATGTGGTAGTTGAATAATTGCCTCCCAAAGATGTCCACCCAATAATGGCCTCCCAAAGATGTTCCTAATCCCCGGAACCTGTGAATGAATATGTTACTTATATGGCAAAAGGGGTTGTGCAGATGTGATTCAATTACAGATCTTAAAATAAGGGGAATATCCTGGATAATTCAGGTGGGCTCAATGTTAAGAACAGGATTCCTGAACAGATGAAGAAGAAGGAGAAGAGTCAGGGGGGAGATGGGATGATGGAACTGCAGATTAGAGTGATACGATAGCTGGTCTTGAAGGCTGAGGACGTCACCACAAGCCAGACAGTATAAGTGGCCTCTAAAGGCTGGAAAAGGCAAAGAAATGATTTCCTCTAGAGCTTCAAAATGAATGCAGTCCTACCGACACCTTCGTTTTAGCCCAGTGAAACTCATTTTGCACTTCCAATCACCAGAATGATAAAATGATAATTTGTGTTGTTTGTGTGTGTGTTTTGTTTGTTGGTTTTGAGACAAAATCTCAGTCTGTCGCCTAGCTGGAATGCAGTGGTATGATCATGACTCACTGCGGCCTCAACCCCCGAGGCTCAGACGATCTTCCCACCTCAGCCTCCTAAGTAGCTGAGATTACAGGTAGGTACCACCATGCCCAGGTAATTTTGAAAATTTTTTGTGGAGATGGGGTCTTGCTATGTTGCCCAGACTGGTCTTGAACTTCTGGACTCAAGTGATCCTCCCACCTCAGCCTCGTTTGTGTTTTAAAGATTAGGCCGGGTGCGGTGGCTCACACCAGTAATCCCAGCACTTTGGGAGGCTGAGGTGGGTGGATCACTTGAGGTCAAGAGTTAAAGACCAGCCTGGCCAACATGGTGAAACCCCGTCTCTACTAAAATACAAAAAACACTTTGGGAAGCTGAGGTGGGTGGATTACCTGAGGTCAGGAGTTCAAGACCAGCCTGGCCAACACAGTGAAACCTCATCTCTATTAAAAATACAAAAATTAGCCAGGTGTGGTGGCATGCGCCTGTAGTCCCAGCTACTCGGGAGACTGAGGCAGGAGAACCCATGAGGCAGAGGTTGCAGTGAGCCGAGATGGTGCCACTGCACTCAACCTGGGCCACAGAGCGAGACTCTGTCTCCAAAAAAAAAAAAAAAAAAGATTATAAAGATTATTTTAATTTTTTACATCGACTAAATTTAACACCTGTTACACAAAATATACAACACAATATATTGGAGTGTTTTATAAAATAAGTATAATTGTTAGAATGGCATTCCAGTTCACAATACCCTACAGGTGTGGTGATCCAGCAACAGAATACTACCTCGATTGGAATGACTGCTGTAACCTCTTTCATTAACATGAAGCCTAGCCAAATAATCCGACTTCCCTCTCCTCTACTTCACACCCCAGGCTCCATGACCCACTGTATACATTTCCTATTGCTGTTGTAACAAATTACCATGAACTTGGTGGCTTAAAATAATGCAGTTTACATTACTTACAGTTTTTGATGTCAGAAATCGGAAATGGGTCTCACTGGACTAAAATCGAGGTGTAAGCTAGGCAGCATTTATTCTGGAGGCTCTAGGGAAGAATCCTTTCTTTTTCTTTTTTTTTTGCCTATTACAGCTTCTAGAGGCCACCAGCATTCCTTGGCTTGTGGGCCCTTCCTCCCTGTTCAGACTCAGCAAAGGCAAGTATTGTCCTCCTCATGTTGTCTCGCTCTGACTTCCTCTTCTCCCTCTCCCTTCCTCTCCCCAGGGCCCCACTTCCAATGACTGCCACCTCCCAGGGAGGGGCCAAGCTCAAAGGTGAAGCAGCCGGGCTCGGTGGCTGACGCCTGTAATCCCAGCTCTTTGGGAGGCTGAGGTGGGCGAATCTCCTGAGGTCAGGAGTTCGAGACCAGCCTGGCCAACATGCTGAAACCCCATCTATACTAAAAATACAAAAATTAACTGGGTGTGGTGGTGTGCACCTGTAGTCCCAGCTACTCAGGAGGCTGAGACAGGAGAATTGCTTGAACCTGGGAGGCAGGGGTTACAGTGAGCTGAGTTGGTGCCACTGCACTCCAGCCTGGGAGACAGAGCGAGACTCTGTCTCAAAAAAAAAAAAAAAAAAGAAAAGAAAAGGTGAGTCAGGGAGGCCAGGGGTGAGGCTGGCGTTGGCCCCCATAGTCATTCACACAAACGGCTCCTTTCTGAAGACAGTTGATTGCAGGCGTACAATGAGTGGTTAGAAGACAAGTGTCACCAGGAATAAAGTGGGAGCAGGCTGGGGCAGAGGCTGAGTGGCCAGTCATCTCTATTGGCATCTCACTCAAGACATGGGCCGGGAGCTGAGGACACTGGAGACCACTTTGTTTCCTCATTGCTGTCAGGGGCCTCTGCTGCCCTCCCCACCCCCACTGCCCCTGTCAGCTCCTCCACCTCTAGGAATGGGGGTTTACTGCATCCCCTCTCCATGGCCGAGTTCAGGAGCTTCCCATGAGATTCACCCAAAAAGGGCACAGGCCTTTTCTATCCCATGGGGGCCTGAGGCCAGTATCAGGTGTCGGTCCCTGGTCTCCCCCATCTGCTGGGACCTTTCTCTCCTGCCAGGCTGTTTTGTCCTCAGCGAGGCCTGCCAGGATGACCAGGTGATGTCACCCAGTCCGCCTGTTCCATCCCCTGGCTCCCCCTCAAGCCCTCCTTCCACTAAAACCACGGGGATTTCAGGAATGACCTGGAAAGCGACGCCACCTCTGCAGAAGGGGCCTGTTACGCTGGGCCAGTAAAATGAGCGCCTGGAAAGGGGGGTCCCATCGCCCCTTTCTTGAAGACGCTGAGGGTCACCACAGAAGGAAAAGGCAGCAGCCCTGGTCCCCAGTGTGAGGAAAAGACCAATAAGCTGGCATCACTCTCTGCCACTCAATCTGACTTCATAAAAGCCACCAGGGGCCATTTCTGGGTGGCGGAAGAGGCAGGTAGGAAAAGCCAAGTGCATCGGGCTCCCGGGCCTCAGCCAGAGCCCAGGCTTAGTGGCACCTGAAGCCAGCCCTGGTGCTGCTGCACTGTGCACACTTTATAAAATGGGGCCGGGCATGGTGGCTCATGCCTGTAATCCCAGCACTTTGGGAGGCCAAGGCGGGTGGATCACTTGAGGTCAGGAGTTCCAGACCAGCCTGGCCAACATGGTGAATCCCCTTCTCTGCTAAAAATACAAAAATTTTCTGGGCGTGGTGACGGACACCTGTAATCCCAGCTACTTGGGAGGCTGAGGCAGGAGAATCGCTTGAACCCGGCAGGCAGAGGTTGCAGTGAGCCGAGATCGTGCCTTTGCACTCCAGCCTGGGTGACAGAGCAAGACTTTGTCTCTTAAAAAAAAAAAAAATGGACCTTGTGCCAGTTGTCTGGAGTGAACGTCCCCTGGCTGCCCCATCATGTCAGTGGAGAACACAGAGCCAGGCCCTGGGCTGGCAGGACACCCCCTCCTCTCCTGGGGGATTGAGAGCTGTGGGTGGGGGCCAGCCTGGCAGCAGGGCCTCTGAGCTGGCTGGAGATGTTTATTAATCCTGAGCTCCAGAGCTGGGGCCTCTCCGCTGAGCCTGCGCCTGCATGTGCACGTCTGTCTCCAGACCCATCTGTCCTGGCCCAGCTCCTTCCCTATCTGGGTGTAATCGCCACCGCGCTCCCCTGGGCATGTGGGTGTAACAAGTCCAAACCTTCTGTGGGAGTCGGGCAGGCTCGGCCCCACCCTCAAGGCTGTGCCCTTTCCTCCCAGACTGGTTATGCAAGAGCAGGCATGAGTGTGGTTTTTGTGGGTGCATGCGCGGCAGGCCTGGGGCCTGGCCGCCTGCTGCCTCACCTGCAAGGAGGGGCCTCCCAGAAACTCCCTTCCCCAATGCCCAGCCGCCCCACCTTGCCAGACTTAGCTGACCAGCCAGCAAGGACGCCCGCTGCCTCCCACCTGCCCTCCTGCCCTCCTTCACCAGCCAAGCCCAGCCTGAGCCAGCACCTGCCTTTATGACCATGTTCAAGGGACTGAGCAAAGGCTCCCAGGGGAAGGGGTCCCCCAAGGACTCCCCAGCCAAGGGGTCCCCCAAAGGCTCCCCCAGCAAGCACAGCTGGTGAGTGGGACTAGGGGATGGGGAGCCAGGGAGCTAGGGTGGGGGTGGTGCCAGGCCCAGGTCCTTGAGCCACCTGGCGGCGGCCCAGAGCCCAGGACCAGCCCCGTGCTGGCATTTGGTGTCCCGAGGACAAAGGGCCCAGGGGTGGACTCTCTCCCTGCCTTGGGAGCCGCAGGCCCAGGCCGAACTTCAGCCCTGGCAGGAGGCAGGGGATGGCCTGGGGCTCCCTACATCCTCTAAGGGGGCCTGTGGGCCACAGATTGATGCTGCTCAGCGGGAGAAGTGCCGGACAGGAGCCTGCACTGATGCCCTCCTCTGCCAGAGGCTGGGACACAGGAGAGCCTGGTTGTGTGACTGCAGCTCTGCCCCAAGGCTCTACTTGGCTGGGATGACCCCTGGAGCCTGGGTGCAGGGCATGAGGACTGAGGGGGTGGGGTGGGATCCCTGGGGTAGGGATGCAGGGGCTGTGCTGCCTCCTGCCTAAGCCAGAGCCCTCCCCAGAGCTCTCACCCAGGGCCTTGTTGTATTGAAGAGTTAGGGGTTCATGGCTGGGCGCGGTAGCTCACGCCTATAATCCCTGACTTTAGGAGGCCAATGCGGGAGGATTCCTTGAGCCCAGGAGTTTGAGACCAGCCTGGGCAACATAGGGAGATCTTGTTTCTATAAAAAAAATAAAAATAAAAAACAGCCAGGTATGGTGGCTCATGCCTATTGCTTGAGCCCAGGAGTTTGAGGCTTCAGTGAGCCATGATCACACCACTGCGCTCCTGCCTGGGTGACAGACTGTGACTCTGTCTTTAAAAAAAAAAAAAATCCTGGTGCAATACCTCATGCCTGCAATCCTACCACTTTGGGAGGCTGAGGCGGGTGGATGACTTGAGCCCAGGAGTTGGAGACCAGCCTGGGCAACATGACGAAATCCCATCTCTATAAAAAATATACAAAAATTATCTGGATGTAGTGGTGCATGCCTGTAGTCAGAGCTACTTGGGAGGCTGAGGTGAGAGGATCACTTGAGCCCGGGAAGTCGAGGCTGCAGTGAGCCGTGATCACTCAACTGCACTCTAGCCTGGGTGACAGAGCAAGACCCTGTCTGTTAAAACAAAACAGAATAGAGCTGGGGCTTCCTTTTCCAGTGGGTGTGGTGCAGGGGGCACTGGGCCTCCCTTGGACCACCCGGTTCTCTGGGGCCCAGCCTCAGCTCTCTGTGGATGGATTGGGTGGCGCTCTTCCCACTCACTGGCTTCAGCTCATCTGCAGAGGAGGCAGCAGCCCGCCTGGGTCCAGGGTGTCGAGATAAGCTCAGGGATGAAAAGCTGGTGTGGGAGTGGGGGTGCCCATTACCCCGATAGGGATCAAGGCACCAACAGACACCGAGTCTGGGCGTCTGGGCCGACGGGAAAGACAGTGGTTAAGACTCTCAGCTAACACTCTCACTGAGTGACCTGTCCTCCCTGGGGCACCTGAGCCCCACCCAGGGTGGAGTGTGCAGCTCCTGGTGGGAGCAGCCATCCCAGGAGGCGGGACCTGAGCAGGAGTGCCCAGGGCCCAGCACCTGCAGCTCCCACTGTCCAGGCAGGCTCCCCAGCAGTGTGCTCCTGGCCTGGGGCAGCTCAGTCCTCAGGGCCCTGTTGGCTCTGGATCACCTCACGTGCGATCCACTCGTTTGACATGAACTTACTGAGCACTTACTGCATGCCAGGACTGTTCTAGGCACTGGAGATGTCGCTGTAGACAGAACCAACAGGCCCCTGCCTTCAAGGCACTAGCCCTCTAGTGGGATAAAAACTAACACGTGCTGGGTGCCGACTCTGCACCAGGCCTGCACTGGATGTTTCAGACAGATAAATTCAATTAATGCTCACAATAGCCCTAAGGCATAGATATTTTTATTAAAATCCTGCTTTACGAGTGAGGAACCTCAGGCACAGAGAGGTTGAGTAACTTGCCCAAGGTCACACAGCATTAATGATGGAGAAAGATGAAACCAGGCTGTCTTGGCCACAGAGTTCTTCCAGACTGCTGTGCCTTCACCAGCACTGTCCCGTTGCCTGGGGGGGCCCATCCTTTGACCCAGTTCAAGGCTTCCCCTGCCCCAGGATAATGATCCCCCATAAGGCACTGTGCTCATAAGGCTTGGACCAATCTGCCCTCTTTTAGGTCTGCTTGGCCTTGTGACCTCCACAGAGTGACTGCATGCACACAGCAGGTGCTCTATGGAGGCTGCAGGGCGAATGCACAGAAAAAGCCCTGGGGTGGAAGCAAGGTTTCCCCTCCGTCCCTGACCACGTAACTCAGAGCAAGTTAGGGCACAATCTGGGCTTTGAACCCTCAACTCTGGAGAATGTTAGGGTGCCCAGCAGTCTCTTGCGCCTGCCCCCGCTCCCCGACTCTGACAGTGTGAGGCTCCTCTAGACGGCTGCTGAAGCCAGCACTCTGGCAAAGCTCCCTGGGGTGGAGGAGGTATAGGGGAACACAGGGCTGGAGTGGGAGGAGGTGGGGGTGGGGGGCATGCTGCTGCCTCCCTGCCCCAGCCAGCCCAACTGCCCCTCCCAGGGCCCAGCCAGGCTGGCTCAGGTACTACCGGCTCACAGGGGGGAAGTGGCAGGCAGCTGGGTGGGGTCGGGAACTCACTGCCAGCACAGCTGGCTGAGGCTGGGACACCGAGGCCGCCTGACACCCAGCACCACACAGACCTGAGACCCTCACCTTTTGACCCCTCATGTGGCGGGGCAGTGCTAACACCCCCAACCAGGTCTAGCTCACAGAGCCTCCTGCAGAGAGAGACCCCAAAGTCAGGGCAGTGTGCTAGGCTGTGGGGGCGGGATGGGGTGGAGAGAGGGCAGGGGACGCCACCTGGATGGGGCACAGAGGGGCCTCTTCCACCGAGCTGCCCACTGTCCCCTCCACCCACCAAGAATGCCACCCAGGAGCTGACCCTGCTCATCTCCCACATGCAAGCCAGCGCCGACCAGGTGGAGCGGGACATCCTGGAGACGCAGAAGAGGCTGCAGCAGGTGAGAACCCGGCAGCAGTTGGCAGGGTGTGGGCAGGCTGGGTGGCATGGGAGGCCCATCATCAGGCCTGGCACTCCCTGAGTGCCCCCTGGTGATGGTGAAGATGGGACAGATGACATTTGTCCTGCACCGCCTGTCCCCTAACACACGGTGGGAGAGAGGGCTCAACTTCCTTCTTTGCTGGGCTCCCCTGTGTCTTTGTCACCTGCCTCATGGACGCCCTGGGCCTGACCCTGTGCCTGGCGTGGGCCTCGAGGTTGGCCAGCATAGCTGGGGTCCCAAAGGTGGGGCTCAGGCCCACAATGATGGGCAGCAGGGGTGTGGGGGCTCTGGACCCTGGCAAGTCTGCCCATCCCCTGCCCACAGGACCGGCTGAACAGTGAGCAGAGCCAGGCCCTGCAGCACCAGCAGGAGACGGGCAGCAGCCTGAAGGAGGCCGAGGTGCTGCTCAAGGACCTCTTCCTGGACGTGGACAAGGCCCGGCGGCTCAAGCACCCGCAGGCTGAGGAGACTGAGAAGGAGTGAGTGGGGCTGCGGCAGGGCTGGGGGTCCCTGGGGAAGACCCAGGCCCAGCCCTGACCTGCTGGCCACCTTCTTGACAGCATCGAGCAGCTGCACGAGCGGGTGACCCAGGAGTGTGCGGAGTACTGTGCCCTGTACGAGAAGATGGTGCTGCCGCCCCGACGTGGGATCCAAGGTCGACTGGGCACACGTGCTGGAGCAGAAACAGGTCAGGAGCTCAAAGTCACACCCCAGTGTGATCAGAGGGTGATACGGAACTGCATTTAACCCAGGGCCTGACTGTAGGCTTGAACAGTCAGTGTATAGTGGTGTCTCAGGGGTCTGGGCAGGGAGACAGCAGAGGAGACAGTGCAGTCAGGGAAGACTTCCTGTAGGAGGAGGCACATGAAGAGACCTCAGAGGGGTGAGAGGGCTCGGTTGGGTCAGGGTGAAGTAGTGAGGAGAGGACAATTCCAGAAAGAAGGAGCAAAGGCACCTGCCAGGAGGAAGCCTAGGATTCGATGGGAAGTGGGGATTTCTGGCCAGGTGGGCAGAGCCAGGACATGGGGCATTCTGATCCCTGGTTGAGGAGTTGTGCTTTGATGCCACACAGAAGGGGTGTCATCATGACAATAGAGGAACAGTGGGGAAGGGCCCGGGTGCAGCAGGGCGTTCTGAGGGCCCTAGAGCTTGGCTGGAGGTGTCCAGGCAGGAAGCACTGAGGCTGGGTCACAGACAAGGCAGGATGGAGCTGGAGACTTCTGAGGCTGAGCCCAGCGTCTGGGAACCAGTGGGACTCAGGGGCCACTGCAGAATGGCCTCTGCAGTGGCCACCCTGCAGAGCAGAATGGCTCACCCTGGGTGAGCTGCAGGGCGTGCACCCGGGCTGCTCTCAGGCTCGTCCACGCTCTGCCCAAATGACCAAGTCCACTTCTCCGGGTGGGAGACGTGTGGGGTTCTCTGGCTCTCCACCCTGGTCCTGTGGTGACTGAGCCGCCGGCTCTCCTGCAGAAGCTGGTCTGCGCAGGCCAGTATGGGCCGGGCATGGCGGAGCTGGAGGAACAGATCGCGGAGCTCAACATCGTGCAGAAGGAGATCAACGACCAAGGAGAGCAGCTGCGGAGCCTGGTGGGGCCGGTGGGTGAGCCGGGAAGATGTTACATCCGGGGCCAGCCCCAGCCCCTGTTTTTCCAGTCAGAGCCGGAGCTAGATCGGCTGGGCCCTGGGGATAGGGGTGGGTGGGGTATGGCTTGCCCAGATCTTAGGGGGCCGTCTCCCTGTGCCCCACCTCTCACGGGCTTGTTTCTCCCCTTGGTCAAGGCAGGATGCCGCCACCATCCGGAGCCAATACCGAGACCTACTGGTGAGCAGGAGGGAGGGTCGGGCAGGGTGGCTGCAGGTGGGCCTGGGTGGCCGCCCGGACCCTGCCCGGGGCCAGTGTTCCTGAGCGCCGCCCAATGGCGCCTTTTGCCCCCCACTTTCTCTCTCCCCACCCTGCTGCTGGCGGCGGGTCCTGAGCACAGAGGGCGGCGTCGTGGCGCGGGCAGAGCCTGGGCAGCCTGTACACGCACTGCAGGGCTGCACGTGGCAGCTGAGCGCCCTGGCGGAGCAGCAGCGCCGCATCCTGCAGCAGGACTGGAGCGACCTCATGGCCGACCCTGCGGGCGTGCGGCGGGAATACGAGGTCGGCTGGCAGAGGTTGGGGCCAGGCGGGGGCGACCAGGGCCATCCTGGTCCTCACCGCCGCTCCCCACCCGACTCGCCCCCAGCACTTCAAGCAGCACGAGCTGCTGAGCCAGGAGCAGAGCGTAAACCAGCTGGAGGAGGACGGCAAGCGCATGGTGGAGCTGCGGCACCCCGCGGTGGGGCCCATCCAGGTGCGCTGGGGGCAGGGCGAGAGTGAGAAGGGACGTGGTGGGCGGGGAAGGGGGGGGTGGACGTGGGTGCGGGGGCGGGGCGTGGTCCGAGGGCTCCGTGCTGCGGTACCCAGGCCCACCAGGAGGCCCTGAAGATGGAGTGGCAGAACTTCCTGAACCTGTGCATCTGCCAGGAGACCCAGCTCCAGCACGTGGAGGACTACAGCCGGGTGAGCCCTCGGGCAGCGGCAGGGCGGCAGGGCGGCAGGGCGGGAGGTCCCACAGCACACCGGCCCACAGGAGAGGCACTGCACCTCTCAACTAGACAGAGCTGGCAAGTCGCGGTGGCTCACACCTGTAATCCCAGCACTTTGGGAGGCTGAGGCTGGCCGATCACTTGAGGTCAGGAGTTCGAGATCAGCCTGGCCAACATGGTGAAACCCTGTCTCTACTAAAAATACCAAAATTAGCTAGAGGTGGTGGCACGCGCCTGTAATCCCAGCTACTCAGGAGGCTGAGGCAGGAGAATCGCTTGAACCCAGGAGGCGGAGGTTGCAGTGGGCCGAGAATGGTCCACTGCATTCTAGCCTGGGTGACAAAGAGGGACTCCACCTAAAAAATAAAATAAAATAGAGCTGTGTGGTTGCCACTCGGTCCCAGAGGGAAGGAAAGGCATGGGCACATTCTCAACAGGGTGAAGCCGTTCCCAGGGGGGTGAAAATTCGTTCTTAATGGCAGAAAAGTAACTGTTTTTATGCATGAAGTACAGATCCACATACAGCACCTAAGCTGTATACAGCATATCTGTGGTATAAATATTTCATGGGGGCCAGGTGTGGTGGCTCACACCTGTAATTCCAGCACTTTGGGAGGCCGAGCCAGGAGAATTGCTTGACCCCAGTAGTTCCAGACCAGCCTGGGCAACATAGGGAGATCTTGTTTCTATAAAAAATAAAAATAAAAACTAGCCAGGCATGGTGGCTCGTGCCTATTGCTTGAGCCCAGGAGTTTGAGGCTGCAGTGAGCCATGATCACACCACTGCACTCCCGCCTGGGTGACAGACTGTGACTCTGTCTTAAAAAAAAAAAAATCCTGGTGCAATACCTCATGCCTGCAATCCTACCACTTTGGGAGGCCGAGGCGGGTGGATCACTTGAGCCCAGGAGTTGGAGACCAGCCTGGGCAACATGACGAAATCCTGTCTCTACAAAAAATATACAAAAATTATCTGGATGTAGTGGTGCATGCCTGTAGTCAGAGCTACTTGGGAGGCTGAGGTGAGAGGATCACTTGAGCCCGGGAAGTCGAGGCTGCAGTGAGCTGTGATCACTCCACTGCACTCTAGCCTGGGTGACAGAGCAAGACCCTGTCTGTTAAAACAAAACAGAATAGAGCTGGGGCTTCCTTTTCCAGTGGGTGTGGTGCAGGGGGCACTGGGCCTCCCTTGGACCACCCGGTTCTCTGGGGCCCAGCCTCAGCTCTCTGTGGATGGATTGGGTGGTGCTCCTCCCACTCACTGGCTTCAGCTCGTCTGCAGAGGAGGCAGCAGCGAAAGATGGGTAGAAAGAGATGGGGGAGAGACAGAGGAGGCTGAGAGGGAGAGGAGGATGGAGAGAGCAGAGAGAGAGAAACAGAGATGGGGAAAGGGGCAAGAGATGACAAGAGAGACAGAGAAGCCAGAGAGGCAGAGGGGGAGAAAGGGAGAGAGGGAGAGAGAGACAGAGCAGGAGGTCGGGGCACTCTGGGTCCCAGTTTCCGGTGCAGTTGTAGGTCACCATCACCTAACTGCAGGTGCAATAAAGCCCTCGTGCCTGCTGCTCGCAGCCCCTGAGAGTCCTTCCTCCTGGAGAATAAAACCTTTGAGGGCTGCCCTTCCTCACTGGATTTTGGTTGTTTCTAATGAACTGAGTCATCCTGTCTATCACCTTCCTGGGCTCATGGCTCCACTGAACGCTGCCCCCTCGGTTCGGGAGGACCAGTGGTGCCCCCATCTCACCAGGCTCCCAAGGAAGCTTGTGACCTTGGCTTGGGCCCAAAGTAGCCGGGTACCCACTGGGGCTCTGCTTCTCCCTTCACTAAGAGAAGAAAGAGACCAAAGAATGGTCTGCACAGAGGGCACCTGTGCAAACACCCAGGGAACCAGGGAGTTGAGCCGTCTTCATTTCCTAACAGATACATTCCCTTCTGTGCCTCCTTAATGAGGGCATGAAGCACAGTATGCGTGTGTCCAGCTGTGTGCAAAGGCATGTGTGTGTGCATGTGTGTTGTGGGAGCATGCAGTAGGCAGCAAGGAAAGGGCAGCTCCTGCTCAAAGCTGCAAGTCTCTCTGAAGGAAAGATCAAGATTCCCTGGACCACAGCAGGACAGTGTTTTCATTTGCATCCATTTTTATTAGCATTTAAACCTGTATCTTGAGTAGCATATAAACTTTAAGTTGGTTAACTGTTCTTACAAGCATTTACACAGTAAGATAAACATATGATAATATACACTGAAATTATGCACCCTGCACCCCGCCGTCCCCACCCTGGCCAGAACTATCTTGCAAACCTACACCCAGCAAAAGATCCCATAGTGCACTTTGGGAGGTATAGACAGGAAGCCTGAGTCTCCATCGCTCATTCCATCTTTTCACCAGCTGTGGGCTACCAGGCTGCATTGGTTTGCTAGGGCTTCCTTAAAGTACCACAGACTGGGCAGCTTCAGCAACAGAATCTCACTGTCTCACAGTCCTGGAGGCTGTAGGTCCAAGATCAAGGTGTCGGCAGGGAAAGTCCCTTTCCAGGGCGGTGCGGGAAGGCTCTGTTCCAGGTCTCTCTCCTGGCGTGTAGGTGGCCTTCCCGGTGTCTCTTCACCTGGTCTTCCCTCTATGCATGTCTCTGTGTCCAAATTTGCCCTTTTATAAGGACATCAGTCATATTGAATTGGGCACCCCCTACTGATCTCATTTTTCATTTTAACTTATTTCCATAAGACGCTGTCTCCAAATAAGATCACATTCTCAGGCACTGGGGCTAAGGACATCAACATAGGAATTTCAGGGGACAAATTCAACCCACCACATAGGCCCTCCCTGAGGCCACCTCTGCGTCATCTTTGTCTACAGGCAAGTTGGCATCTAAAAAGTGTCTGCCCAAGACATGCGTCTGGCCCATGGTACAGCCAGTCCACACGGCCAATGGTGAAATCCGGGTGGCATTGTTTCCTCACCGCCATGCCTCATGCAAGCAGCTGCCTTCTTATAACGGTGGACACAAATCCCAGCACTGGTGCAGTTGCTTGCCGGCTGTGGGTGAAGTAGCCCCATGTCAGTGTGCTGCAAAGATGCAGCTTAGAATGTTACGGCTTGTGTGAAAGATACGCAGATTTCTATTCCTTCCAATCTGTGGTTTCAAGTTCTGCTTGAACCCAAGGGGCTCTATAGGGTGCTTCTGGAACAGCCGGGGTGTTAGGGGTGCTGAAAAGGTGTTAGGGTGCCTAGGCTCAACCCCAGCTTCAATCACACAAATAATCTTGTTGACATGATTTTTGGTTAATTTTTTTTTTTTTTTTTTGAGACAGAGTCTTGCTCTGTCGCCCAGGCTGGAGTGCAGTGGCCTGATCTCTGCTCACTGCAAGCTCCACCTCCTGGGTTCATGCCATTCTCCTGCCTCAGCCTCCCAAGTAGCTGGGACTACAGGTGCCCGCCACCACGCATGGCTAATTTTTTTTTTTGTATTTTTAGTAGAGACGGGCTTTCACCATGTTAGCCAGGATGGTCTCAATCTCCTGACCTCATGATCTGCCCGCCTCGGCCTCCCAAAGTGCTGGGATTACAGGTGTGAGCCACCGCGCCTGGCCTGGTCAGTTTTTTAATTGATCTTTTGTATAATTTTTTTGTTTAAGAAAGGGATCCTTTGGCAGAAAGAAAATCTGAAACTCTAAATACTGTCCATTTTATCCATATATTGGTCATACCCCCAAAATATATCCTGATTCCAGCCATTTGTCATGACCGCTTTAATCTGAGCTCCCTTCATTTTTCACCTGGATTACTGTACCAGCCTCCCCAATGGCCTCCCTGGTGCCACCTGGCCCCTCCCCAGGGCTCAGCAAGATTTTTCTGCAAAGGACCTGGTAGTAAGCATCTTGGGCTTCGTGGACCCTGTGGTCTTTGTTGCACCTACTCAGCAGTTACTCAGCTTTCCACTGCAGCCCCAAAGCAGCCCCAGACAAGAAGTGAACACAGGGGAGGAACTGTGGCTCCAATAAACCTTTATTCACAGTAGGAGGGGGGCTTCATCTGGATTGTGGGCCATAGTTTGCCCACCCCTGCCTGACCTCATGACAACACTGACCTTCGTATTTATGCCTCTTAAAAACATGTGTAAGCCGAGTGCAGTGGCTCATGCCTGTAATCCCAACACTCTGAGAGGCCGAGGCTGGAGGATTGCCTGGGGGCAGGAGGTCCAGACCAGCCTGGATAACACGGCGAGATCCTGTCTCTACAAGAAACCATTTCAAAAGCAGCCAGGCATGGGGGCCCACACATGTAGTCCCAGCTATTCAGGAGGCTGAGGTGGGGAGGATTGCTTGAGCCTGGGAAGTCAAGGCTGTAGTGAGCTGTTTTGGGCCACTGCACTTCAGCCTGGGTGATGGAGCAAGACCCTGTCTCTCTCTCTCTCTCTCCATATATATATATATACATATATATGTATATATATATAAAATTTATTTATAGTGTGTGTAATGGTTGTCTACAAGGCACACCTTTAATTAATCACAGCCAACCCTCAAATAATACCCATAGTGTAGGACCCTTACAACGTTACACTCCCAACTCTTCTCCCCACCCATCTTTTGTTTTCTTTCTTTCCACAGATTCTGTGTCCATCTTCCTCTCCTCATTGACTCTGCATGAAGGGGATTTCTGGTGGAGTAAGGGTAGCAGGTGAGAAATGAAGTACCAAGAAACTAGCAAAGGGTCTTCTGGTTGTCTGGGGACAGTCCTCCTGTCATCCCCAGCCTAGTCTCAAGGGTTCTGGGCCGGTCACCCTGCTGCCTCTGTGCTGTGTCTCTGGATCTGGCCTCCATGGGAAGGACCCTGGGAGACCCAGCAGAGTGGGGTACCTGGGTTGACAAACAGCTTCCTGTTCCTCTGGCTATGTGGCTCAGGAATAGGCCCAGACAGTGCATCCAGATGTGTGAGGCCACATCACTGCCCCCTTTGAGATGGCCCAGAGGACCTTGTGGCACAAGCGTGAAGCTCAGCACCCGGAGCCTGGGACAAACTGCCCCTCCCTGTGTCCTGGAGTTGGGGTCCGGTCCCGAGAAGACTCTCAGTCACCTGTGGGTGCTGATGAGGGGAGGGAGAGGTCTGTGGACTGAGAAGGGCCATTGGTAGGGGACTCTGAACACCACCGCTCAGGGGTCTGGTCAGTGGGGGTCTGGTCAGCAGAGATTGAACTCTGGGGCTCAGACACAGAAAACCTGCTCAGTGACCCTTTCTCCTTTTTCAGCTCTTGCCGCACGTGCAGAGAGAGAGGAACTTCCAGTGCCCGCTATGGAGCCACAGCCCACAGCATGGGGAAGTCCCCATCCAGAGGCAGTGCTGCAGCTAGAGGTAGCTCCAGAGTCCTCCGGGCCCTGCACCGATACAGCCAAAGACCAGCAAAGCGACAAGCTGCCAGACCTCATGCCACCTGCTGTAGCCACTGGGCTCAGCCCTGGAGCTGAGAGCATCGCTGGAGATAGACGTGGCAGAGAAGAGGTTGCGAGCATGGCCCCAGCCAGCAGCTCCCACGCTGCCCCTAGTCCTGGGCATGGAGCGAGCCTTGGTGTCAGAGACCAGGGTGTGCAGTCTGAGCTCCTCTACCTTACTAAAGAGAGGCCTCTTTTATTTACCAGAGCCACAGCCCTGCTGCCTCAGGACCTTTTCATTCTGCCGGTGCTGGGGCTGTCTATCTGCAAGCTGGAGGTGTTGAGAGCAGGAAAAGGAGGCTGTGAGGAAGGGTTCGGGCAGCTCCTCCTGCTCTCAGAGGTGGCCTCCTCCTCCAGGCATGGAGGTCTGTCCACTACTGGGCTTCTGGGCTATTTGCCCCTGATTTGCTCCCTGGTACGGGCTCTTCTTAACAGGCAGGCAAGGGGTGCGGGGACCAGGTGAGGGCTTCAAAGGGTACAGTACCAAATCTTCCAAACTCAGCACTTGTGCCCTGGGGTCTCCAAACTGTCTTCTGCCCTAGAATTTATTCATACTGTTAAATTACCAGTTTATGCAAATGATATGTAAATAAAGCTCAATTTTTTGAAACTTCATGCCTTTTTGAACTCTCTAATGTTAGATGGTGTTTTTGAGGCTATCTGAAAATCTCTGATAGTTGTGTCTTTTGTTGTGGTTGTTTGTGTGATTGAGTTACCACCACCAAATCAACTGTTATTGGAAACATTTCAGGTATGGCTTTTAGAAGACCTGGACCTACTCTTGCCTGTTTTGACCCTCCAGTTTATTGTGGAAGGAAGTATCATGTGGTTTCATGTCTCCGGCAGATCAATCACTTTCCTCCATCCATAGCAGGGAGGAGTCATGGCACCCCAGAGGGATGAAATACTTCTCCCCAAGTATTTCTTATTCTGTCTCTTCCTCTCTCTCATTCCCTGCTCCACATCTCTTTCTGTCTCCTTTTCCAGTTCTCTCTCCCTCCTCATCTCACTGCATGCCACTGTTCAGGCTCCTGGGGCTCCACGTGGATGGGCGGACACGGGACTCCTAGGCTAAGTTTCACGGCACAAGCACAGGGCTGCAGGACCTAGGTCCCCCACCTCCCAGCACCCTCAAAATGAGAGGTGTGGGGTGTGCCCGTGTTCTCCTGGGTGGGCGCCCCACGCTCCAGGAAGCAGAAACTGCAGGACAAAGCTGACACAAGTGACATGCCCACGTGGCTGCCAGCTTCCCTCTTGGGATCTGCTGAGGCCAAAGCAGAGGACACCTGCCCACAACCGACCCCGCACCAGGGTGGGGGGAGGGGTGGGTTTGGGGGTGGGAATGGGGATGGGAACAGCCACTGCAAAGCAGTCCCTGGCTGGCTTCCTGCCCTGCACCCTGTCATGCAAGGCCTCTCCTCCCGCCCCACCCCTGCCCCTCACCACCTCCACCCCTAGGCTGTCCAAATCCAGGCTCCAGAAGTCTCCCAGGATCCAAGAACTAAGGGCAACCACTGGGCTCCGCAGCCCCTAGTCCATGAGTCAGCCACCCCTCTGCATGCTGACAAACCTTGGCTATCACTTATCCTCCACCCCAAACCAGCCCCAGCCTCATCCTACTGCAGGCCTGTGTGGCTGCTGGAGAAGCCGGGCTCCTTTCCTCACTCCAAGGCTGCCTGATATACTTTCTGGATCCTGGAGAAAACTGACCCACTATTCTCATACTGGTGCAGCTTCTTCCAAGACCTCAAAATTGGACAACGTGAACTTGTCTTGTTTCTTGTCTCTTCTTGCTAGGACTGTCATGGGGACAGTCTGAGATGGGGGGTGGGGGGAGAAAATGGATGAATGGATGGATGAATGGACATCCCCCCACCAGCATTACCACCTCCTCCTAAACATAGTCCTGAGAGCTCTATTTCCTGGTAAACTTCCTCCTTCCCACCCTGGTCCAGGGAAGCCCAAAGGCCAGCGCCCTCCACCCACCCTTCCTGGGGTCCACTCTACTGTCTGCTTGCCCAGATGTCTTAACCCAGCTTTACCAAGCTAGGACAGATAGCAGGGATGAGCCCCCAGCCTCTGCCAGGAAGATTTGCCAAAATGTTCTCAGTTTAGAAGCAGGGGCAGTGACGGGGCCTAGGGATGACTCCAGGGTTGTCACTCAAGTAGCAAGAAGGGCAAGGAGGCCTGTTTCCTGCCCTTACCCTGGGAGAACTTGGCCGGGGCTCCACAAGGCCCTGCAGGGGCAGCAGGAGAGCAAATCCACGCTCCTTTTGAGGAAGTCACCACCATCCCTAGGAAGCAGCAGATGGGGGTGCACTGGCAGAGCCCTCGCGTGCTATAGGGCGAGGCCAGCAGATCTGTACTCAGCCTCAGCCCCAGGGGAGCTGCAAGATAGACTGAGACCCTCACAGGTTTGGCTCTGTGTCCCCACCCAAATCTCATCTGGAATTGTAATTCTCCTGTGTCAAGGGAGGAACCTGGTAGGAGGGGATTGGATTTGGGGACAGTTTCCCCCGTGCTGCTCCCCGGATAGTGAGGTAGTTCTCAGGAGAGCTGATGGTTTCAAAATGTGGCACTTACTGGTTCTCCACTCACTCCCTCCTGCCATCTTGTGAAGAAGGTGCCTGCTTCCCTTTCACCTTCTGCCGTGATTGCAAGTTTCCTGAAGTGCAAGTCAATAAAGCCTGTTTCCTTTATAAATTACCCAATCTCAGGTATTTCTTTATAGCAGTGTGAAAACAAACGAATACAGTCCCCTTCCCTGAGGTGCCTTCTCCTTAGGCAACCAGCTGCCCCCATGCTCCTCCTCTGCCCCCTGGTATTTCCTTTCCCCTCATGAGGCCCAAGTGATCCACATGGCCAGCCCCAACCCCATCCTACTGCAGGCCTGTGTGGCTGCTGGAGAGGCCGGGCTCCTTTCCTCACCCCAAGGCTGCCTGATATGCTTTCTGGATCCTAGAGAAAACTGATCCACTATTCTCATACTGGTGCAACTTCTTTCAAGACCTCAAAACTGGACAACATGAACTTGTCTTGTTTCTTATCTCTTCTTGCTATGGCTGTCATTGGGACAGTCCGAGATGCGGCAAGAGCTGAAAAAGGAGAGCTGCTCAGAGCTGAAAAAACCTGCTCAGTGACCCTTCTCTTTCGTCCTCATGGTGGCTTCGTAGAGTGGGTGCTGTTCCCAAATGTACCCATTCGACAGGTGAGACATCTGGGGTCAGAGAGGCGGTAACCGGCCTGGGAATCAGACATGACCCTGGATTCTGCTCTCAGCCCTGCTGTGTGCCGTGCTAGACTTCAGGCCTCAACCCTGAGACCTCCCTGCTCTAGATCCCAAATCTGCCCAGATTTCCGATCCCGATGGGGCAGAGCCTGGCCCTGGCAGAGACACTGGAATGGATCCACTGTGGGTGGGGAGGAGGGAAGGGTCCTCAGAACACACCTGGGGCCTAAGCTGGGTCCTGATGGTCACCGTGGGACCCACTGGACACACATAGTCCCTTGTCTGGGAGTGGCATGGGGAGGCTTCTGCCCTTGGGCAGTTGTGGAAAGTGAAGGAGCCCTGGAGGACTGGCTGAGGGGAGACTAACTTCCCTTGTGTTCAAAGGGGTCCGGGCACTGGGGTTCTCCCCAAGTATTTCTTATTCTGTCTGGCCTCGCTTTCCTTTTGCCCTGAGTATTATCAGGAGGGACGGTCCATCTAGATGTTCTCCAGGAGCAAGGACCCACTCTTCTACATCAGTGACACAGGAACATGAAGCCCCCTCCTGTAGGGACAGCTCAGAATGGTGGAGTCCACAGTCCGTCCCCGAGAGACATGGTTTCCATGAGCACAGTGGCTGCTTTGGAGACAGTAGATCATTTTCATCCCCAAAACCAAACACACTCCTGCTCAAATGGCGTTATTCTTAAAGCAGCTTCACTGGTTAGACTGAAGGGCCATGGTAGCCCAAGTGATGAGCGGGGTAGAACGGAGCAATCAGGAGAGATCTTGTTCCTCATAGGAAACTGGGCATCTCTGTGGCCCTGAGCATCCCAGGAGGCCGATCGTACAGAGACCTCTGGTGCCTGACCGCAGTTCACATCCACATCCCTGGAATAGCCCATCACAGGCTCTTCACCCTTGGCAGGTGGACACCATTCAACCTGCCAGGGCAGGTGTGTGCCCGTTTCATGGCATATGGGGACAACGGGATTCTCTGTCCAGGTCCCACTCTTCTCGAGTCCTTGGGAAGATGCCCACCCCTGCTTAGGGCTTCAGACTGCAGAGACCCATGGATGTGTGGGCCACGGGGTTTGGACCCTTTTTACCAGAGCGCAGTGGTGGAATGCAGGTTATACAACCAGCCAGCATCTGGGAGCCCAGCGGGAGCAGTTCAGGGGTTCTCTGAAGCTGTCGGGTACAGTGTAACCTTTAGACAACTTTGTCTCACAGGATGGACATGGTAGAGGGCGCGGATAGTGTGCAGGCATAGGAGCGGGAGGACATAATTATGAAGTATCAGAAGGTACAGTTCGGTCTGCTCCTTGGAGGGAGGCCTTTTCCTGTGCGCCCTGGTCAAAGGGTCCTGGGTTCCCTCCGAGCACAGGGCAGGGACAGGTGGCCAATACCCCCAGGCCCTTGCACCCTTTACCTTGGACCCCTCACCAAGGCTCCCTCTGGGTTACAGGGACACCGAGCTGGGCTGCCAGAGGACAAGGGGCCTGAACCTGTTGGAATCTACAGCAGCGTTGATCGCTTTGGGATTCTGCAGTGAGTCCTCTGTGCTCCCCTCACCCCTAAAGCAGCTGTCTCAGCTCAGGGATGGGTTTGCTTTTAGAAAGGCCTTTCTGACGCAGGACATGTCTCGCCAGGTCGGGCCAACCTCTTTTCCAGGGTCAGAACTCCTCCCTGGCTCCCCTGCAGGTCCAGCCCGAGATTGTTGTTAGGCCAGAGGTGCAAGGCCCATCTAGGGAGCCGGTGGGAATGGAGAGGGGGCTAGGCCAGGCCCCTGGGCTCTCAGCAGTTCTGTCGGCAAGTTAGCACAAGAGGAGCGGGGCAGCCTGAGGTTCTGGCCCTGTCTACCAGGAGACAACCCCAGTGAGATCCAAGGGTTGTGGCCACAGGGTGAGGAGACACCTGGCCCAGCCTCAGGGCTGCTGTCCAGCAGGTCTCTCAGAGCCCACCTGCCCCTGTCCTCCCCCATTTCCCTAGAACTACAGCCCTCACTGTCCCCATGGGGAAGGGGGAAAGGTGTGGGGACAGTGGGGGCTTTGGCCCAAAGAGAATGGGGGAGAAGACGGGCAGGGCCCCGCTCTGGGCATCTCATGGTGAGACCAGAGAGGCAGCAGGGCTTGTGGCTAAAGACCTGGGTCTGGTGCTGGGAAGGGATCTGGGGCCAGGTAAGAGGAGCCCAGCCAGGAGCCCATCCCTCGGGGATCATAGGATGCAGAGACAGAGGATCCCGGGGGAGGTAGGGTGGGAGGGAGCTGATGAGCCGTGCCACTTCTGAAATGCAGGGTGTGTGGCTCAGATGCAGGGAGAGGCAGGTGGATGCTGGGAGGTCAGAACCTGCAAGAGCCTTGGGGCTGTCAAGTGGGATGGGCCCCTGGTGCACCCAGAGTACACCGGGCAGGTCTCAGGGCAGGCTCCCTTGACCCTGGCGGGGTGATGTGGTCACTCCCTGAGGGACTCCTGTCAGGGCCCGGTCGCCCACCCTGGGTGGCCCCCATCCCATCTCAGGGCTAACCTTTCTCAGCTCCAGCAGAAAGCACCACCTTGAGTCCAGGACGCGCAGCCCCATTGTGCAGCCTGACCACCCCCCATGCCAGGGCCCCAGTAACCCCAGCCAGGCTGTCCCTGCACTCCTTCTCCCAGGTCCTGCCCCTCCTGGGAGTCAGCCCCACAGGAAGGTCCTTGTCCTCCCTTCCCTGTGACTTCTCCGGGGCTGAGCCCTGAGCTGGATAGGGACAGTGCCAGTCCTTTCTGGGGGTCGGCTCCCAGGCTTGGGTGGCTCCAGGCCCTGTGCAGGTCCTCAGCTCTGCCTGAGTTGCCTTACAGTGAGACGGAGCTGCCTCCTGTGACTGCACGGGAGGCAAAGGTAAGAGCCTGATGCATGGAGGGGCTGGTCCAGGGACGTAGGGACTGGGCGGGTGGTCAGTGAGGCAGAGGAAGCAGCTGGCCTGGGCGGTGGCGGGTGAGGGCAACACGCTGTCACTGGGAGGGGCAGCAGAGACCTGACCCCAGTTGCTGTAACTTTGGCAGTTTGATAAAATTCCAAAGTGAGAACCACAGTCCTGGCTTGGGGGTGGCTGCCCGCTTGTGTCAGGAACCCACCTAGAGGCTGGGACCTAAGACTGGTGTGTCTGTGGCCTAAGGATGGCACATCCTGGGGTCCCAAAGCCAGCCCACTGGCGCTCATTTGCTCAAAGGCTCTCAGCCCTTAGGGTCTGCCCTTCCCTGGCTCCTTCCAGCTGGGTCCCACCAGGGCTCCAGAGCCCAAGACCCAGCATCCACGGGCGGCTCTGGGAAGCCTGGCAGCTCCGCTAACTCCAACATTCCTCATTTGGCAGCAAATTCGGCAGGAGAAAAAAAGAAAGAGCAAGTGGCTGGAAATGCTGGGCAAATGCGAGACATATAAAAACAGCAAAAAGGTAATGTGTGGAGGGAGAGGCCCCGGAAGTACTCTCTGCAGAGACAGAAGAGAGGCACCCATGGCTGTGGCCTGGCACCGTCAGCCTCTCAGAGGGCGGGTGGCACACTGTCCTTGCACAGAAGACTGCAGGCCTGGTCGTCAGATTGCCTGCCTATTCGTGCAAGCGTCACCTTGCTGGGAGGGAATCTGAATCTAGGGCTGGGACCACCTGGAGCTCAAGGCTAGGGATGCCCTGGTGACCTGAAGGAAGAAAAAGGTTCGGATCACAGTTTCAACTCTGAGTGTCCATCCACTCTTTCAGTCCTGGGAAGGGAGACCCTGTCCCAGCTTGATCTCACCTCTACTGAGGAATCATGGGGCCAAAACCAAAAATTTCCAGAATCCCTGGGCTCTGATCCTCACTGGGGTCACCCCATGGCCTGTGACACCAGATTGTTTTCTGCCCACAGCTCATAGATCGCATCTATAAGGGCATTCCCATGAACATCCGGGGCCTGGTGTTGTCAGTCCTCCTGAACATTCAGGAAATCAAGTCAAAACACCCCAAAAAATACTAGGTACGCTCAGCCAGAGCACAACAAACAGGACAGGCTGTGTCAGGGGCCCAGGCCTCCAGCTGGAGGGAACGTCAAGCCCAGCCTGGGGGGGTGGGGGGGATGGTCAGATGCACTTCCTGGGCACAGACGGTGACATAGTCACCACAGATGAACTCGGCTCTGGTGACCCTCCCTGGCTTCAGTAACAAGCCAAAAAGCAGCTTTCTGCACAAGGAAACCTTCCTTCTTTCCTTCCTTCCCAAAGCGCTGACTGTGGGCTGACTGCCATTTGGGGCAGGGAGTCTTCCATCTGTTCTGAGGCTGCTTCCTCCTCTTGGCCCTGCCCTACAGATCATGAAGGAGAAGGGCAAGAGGTCTTCTGAACACATCCACCAGATCAAACTGGACGTGAGCAGGACTCTCCAGAACCATGTCTTCTTCAGGGATCGATATGGAGTGAAGTAAGCCTACGAGAGCCACAGGGTCCCAGAGGAGATGGGGTGAATGAGAGGGATGGGGACTTTCCCAGAGCAGAAGCCAGGATCACCCAGGAGGGATGACAGGCTGCCAAGAGCTCTCCTAGCCCAGGGAGCAGCCGGCACCATGAACCAAGCACCTCCCTGGTTCCAAGCCCTGGGCCAGGCTGGAACATGTGGGGCCAGAACCCAGGAGGATCCTGAGGAGACAGAAGACAGCAAACAAAATCATGCATAATGGTGAAAGGTGCTCTCCCTGACCCACGGGGACCCATGGTAGGACCCACGGGAGGGTGGCAGGATGGAGAGCCCATGAGCCTCCCCAGGCAACACTGACAGCACCAAATGCTGGGAGAATTAGGGGTCCTGGAAACTCTCATCCAGGTCTGCTGGGAATATGACATGGCACAGCCACGTTGGCAGCCAGTTGGGCAGTGGCTCACAAAGCTCAATGGACTTGAACCACACGTCCCCAAGGTGTCACAGATATTGAACCCACTGATTTGAAAACTGACATCCACATGAAACCTGCATGCCACGTTCACTGCTTGATTCCTCATCAGTCACACACGAAGCCTTCTGGGATGGCCTTCAACACGGGAATGGGGAGAGACAGTCTGGTCCTCCTTTCAAACAGAAGACCCAGTGAGAAAAGGGAATGAGCCAGTGATGCCCGCAGGAATGTGGGTGGATCCTAGATGCATTTTGCTAAGGGAAAGAAGCCAGACCCAATAAGCTACCACAGTAGGATTCCCATTCCTAGGCCATTCTGGAAAAGACCAAACCATAGGGACTGAGAAGCAGTCTGGGTGGCCAGGGGCTGACGGATCGGGGAGAGGCTGGGTGCATAGGGGAAACCCTGGAGATTTGAAAGATCAGGAGTCACTCCAGGAGGGGCTGGAGTGGTGGCCGGGAGACTCTGCACACTGGTTTGGAACCGTGGAGGAACTGTACACCCAAAGACTGAACTGGCGTGTGTGCAAACTGAAAAAAAAAAAAAATCATTCAGAGTGAAAAGGATCGGTCAACTCCCTGTACAACTGGGCTATTTGCATGTCACAGATGTGGATTTTACTGAAACATTTCTTCAATAATCTCAGGCCCTGAAAGTTCACTGCTTATCTGGTGAATCATCTGAACCTGAAATGGGATTTGTTGTTAGGATTTGTAGACAAAGTGAAACTAACAGCATCTGCACAAACCAAACCCTAGCCCCCTTTCTCTGTTTCCTAGGCAGCGGGAACTATTCTACATCCTTGTGGCATATTCAGAGTATAACCCGGTGAGTATTCCCGGCAGTGAGGTTCCTGGGCCATATTTCCATATTCACAGGAGTGGGTGTCTGATGGGGGTGTCGTTGCTTCTTTTAAAGTTAGTATTTGTGACCCACCAGGATATAGGAGGTAGGATTCCAGGTCACTGCTGGCATAAACCTCCAAGCAAGGGGGTGGTCTCAAGGGGTCAAGCTGAGACACAAAGGACTTGGGGCCTGGACTCCTGGTGTCACCTGGGCCTGTCACCTGGGCACTTCTCAGAACAAGAAATGACACCCTCCTCCTGGGGCTGCCCCAAAGCCTGGGAGCTTGGCAGTGTCACATGCAGGACGGTGCTCTCAGGAGACAATTTGGACAAGGTGCTGAAGTGCCTGATGGACTTGGCTCTTGTCATGAAATGAATTTGCATCCTGAGGAAGCCTCTTCAGAGGAAGCCTCCCCAGTCACCTCTGCCCTCTCCAATGACATGAGTCCTCCCAGGTGACCTCGGCCCTCCCAGGTGATGTCCTTCCATGGCGACTCTGGCTCTTGCAGGAGGTGGGCTACTGCAGGGACCTGAGCCACATTGCCACCTTGTTTCTCCTTTATCTGCCTGAGGAAGATGCATTCTGGGCACTGGTGCAGCTGCTGGCCAGTGAGAGGCACTCCCTGCCGGGTAGGTGAACAGCTGCCCGTGGGGCCTCATGCAGCCAGATCTGGGGACAGCCACCGTGGCCAGGTGATCTCGGCTTTCAGCCAAGGCACCATCCTTGTGTCGCCAGCTTGTTGGGAGCCTTTAGGACGTCTCTGCTGAGGGTCCCACAGGAGTCCGCAGCTGACCCCCACAGCCCAAGTCAAATGCCTTTCATCCCCATCAGCAGAGGGCATCTCATCCTCCCCGTGGCCACCCTCTGTGTCCTGGAGCCACACCCTCCGGCTCTGACTCTGTGCAGCTGACTCTCCCCTCCCTGAGAGTCCTCCTGCCCTCCAGCTGCCCAGGCTCCTGCTGCCCTTGGTGCCCACGAATGGGCTAACCAAGCCCAGGTGGCAGCATCTCCCCATCCCGTGTCCCCTGGCCCAACCCCACTTCCACAAGATGACCAGGAAGCCCAGCACCCACCGTGTTCTGGCCGCTCTGTTGTGACCTCAAAGTCAGGCTTGCCCTTTTTGCACCCTAGCCCAGGAGGCCTCCAGGGGAACCTCCAGCCAGGCTCCAGGGGATGTTCTTGTCCTACCTCCCCAGGGCAAAGGCCGCATGGTGGGGTCACCAGATGGGAGGGTGGGAGGCCTTCAGGTTTGGGGGCCTCTGCAGCTGCCCAGCTCTTGCAGCTGATGGCTCCACATCTTGGGGGAAGGCTCTGATTTCATGATGGGCTGGGGGCTTCTCAGGATTCCACAGCCCAAATGGCGGGACAGTCCAGGGGCTCCAAGACCAACAGGAGCATGTGGTACCCAAGTCACAACCCAAGACCATGTGGCATCAGGTGAGTTTATTGTCCCCTTGGCTCTTCTCAGAGGCCTTGCCTCCCGTGGGGCTATAGGAGCAGGGGGACTGGAGACCCTCGTGGGACTGGTGACTGGCGGAGTCCCAGCCAGGGCCTGACCTGAGACGTCGGGTTCTCCATGGGCTGGGAGTTTGTTTCCTTTCCTGCCCTGGAGGAGACAGAGGCACAGGGATGGGGGCCCAGCTCCCGCAGAGCAAGTCAAAGGTCAGTGTGTCCACTGAGAGTGTGGGAAGGGGACAGTGTTGTGGGGAGCTCTGGACACCGCCCAGTGTTCTGCACTAGGGGAAGGGTCTTCAGAGGCCCTGGAAGATGGAGGTTTTTAGGGCAGCCCAGGGGGCCCTGAGCACCTCTGTTCCTCCCATCAGGACAAGGAAGGTCTATGCGGACAGTGTTCCTCATTAGGCTGCCTTCTCCGGATGTTGATTCAAGGGGTAAGGAGGCATAGGGAGACCCTGGCTCAGGGACCCTCCTTGCCCTGCAGTGCCCTGCTTCCCCAGTCCGGGGGTCTGGCTCACTCCCAGCCCACAGGAGGCTCAGGCGGGTCCCCGAAGGACACACAAGCAAAACCCTCTGCCCAAGAGGGGTCATCCCAGGGCAATGGCTGGGGCTCAGGCCCAGCCTCATGGGCAGACTGGGCCAGGACCCAACTTGAGAGGGCTCAGGGAAGCCTCAAGCCCTGGGCAAGCCCCTCTGTCCAGGAGCCACATCCCCACTCAAATGAGTGCCCCCTATGAGGAGCTGCAAGACCTTGTCTGACCCACCATTCTAGATGGCTCAGGCGACCCTCATGGGGAAGGTCACTGACTCTGGAGACTGAAGCCCCAATGTGTGCAGCTTGAGCCACCAGCCCCAGCCTGGAAGGGCCAGGTTGTCTCACACCTGCTGTCCCCACAGATCTCTCTCGGGCTCACCCTGCGCTTGTGGGACATGTATTTGCTGGAAGGACAGGTGTTGATGCCGATCAGAAGCATTGCTTTTAAGGTTCAGAAGAGTAAGTCTATGTGTACCCAGTGGGGCCTGGGGAGCCCTGCGGTCAGACCCGACTGGCCCAAGGGCAGCTTCCTCACACTGTCCTCATGATCCTCTGTTCTGGCCCAGAGGGAGGTCTGGCCAGGTGGGCTGGGAAGGGCACTGTGATGCCGAGCCCATCCCTCACATGACCCAGATGAAGGTCAGGAGTGTGGTGAGCACTTCCCTGTCCAGATCACCCCCCAGCCACAGTCTCCTGTGTACATCTGGACGCCTGGGGTGGCCACAAAAGGATCCGGCACGGCCCAGTGGGAGACTGAAGTGGCCACGGGGTATGAGCTGTGACCATTCCCAGGTAACTGTCCTGGCCTGATATCCACCCTGTCCCTAGAGCGCCTCATGAAGACATCCAGGTCTGGCCTTTTGGCATGTTTTCGGAACCAGTTCTTCCATACCTGGGCCACGGACGATGACACTGTGCTCAAGCATCTTAGGGCCTCTACGAAGAAACTAACAAGGAAGCAAGGGGACCTGCCACCCCCAAGTGGGCTCCAGTGCCATGTCCCCTCCCATGTCACCCTCTGGGGCAGTCAATAGTGGGCGAGTGCCCCGGACCAGCAACCCTACTACCTGGGCCTTCCTCTTCACCTTTTCTTCCTTCTCTTCCTCCTGGACTCTAAGAAAGTACAGGAGGCCCACCAGTCCTCAGGGCAGGCGCTCAGTGTGTGTATACTGGACATGTTGTGCACGCAGGAGGGGGATGTGGGCAAGACCCTCCAACAAGCCCCCTCCCACTTTCCACGGTGTCTCGCTCTGCCCCTCACAGGGCCCTCAAAGTTACTAGAGGAGCCAGGCCCATTTGTGGGAGACCCCCCCCTCCCTACAAGCACCCACAGCCTCAGAGAGCAGCAGAGGCCCCTCACTCCTGCACCTCCTCCAAGGTTGCCAGGACAACAAGCCTTGAGCAAGGGAGACAAGGGAATTGGGTGTCCCTGACCCACAGGGCATTCAGGGAGAGGGCACAGGCAGGACCATTTTCTTGTCTACTTGATTTTAGAGTCAGTTCTTACTATTAGGCAGCTACTAATTAGTTGATATTAAAACCAGCCCTCGTTTAGGCATTTTACTTTGATAATATAGTTTTTATTATTTAGGCATTTTATAAACTTAACCTTTCTCTTGCTATCTCCCCAGAAAGATGACAAACCTGCATTTATAGTTTTGCAGCTACAGATAATTGTACAAGTAACTAAATATGTGGAATTGTTAATTTGTGTCAAGCGCTGTACTAGGCATATTATATACATAATTTACTCTATATAGCCCAGTATAAAGTAGTTACCATTATAATCCACATTTTTCAGATAAGGAAAATGAGGCACAGAGAATTTAAGAAATATATATAAGTTACACTAGTAGGATGTAGCAAAACCCACATTTAAACCCACATTTCTCCCCAAAGAGCTTAAACTCCTAACTTTTATGTTATACTGATTTGGTACTTATCACTTTTGAGTCTCAGTTTTCTCATCTAGGAAGTACACTACTTCATTTGTTCATTAATTCATTCAGTCGTTTCATTGTCTACCACGTGCTAGGCTATACAGAGGTGCAGGCACAAGGATTAACCAGGAAGAAAACAGACTGTGTGTGCTGTCAAGGGCATAACTTTCCAATGAGAGGAGTCAGAGAGCCAGGAAATAAATGACTGTAACGTCATGTGGTGACAAGAACTTTTATGAAAAATGAAGTAGGCTAAAGTAGAGAGAAAGTGTTGTATTAGAAGCACATTTTACATCATATGTGGAAAATTCTGGTAATGAGACATTTGAATAGCAAGAAGAAGATTCTAGGCAAAAAGTGAGACAAAGTTAAGTAGGAGGATGTTCTGGGAAGAACGTGCCCATCAGTGAGGCCAGAGCAAAGTGCACAACGGGAGGATGGTAGACGACAGTTTCAGAGCAATGCCAGGAGCTAAATAATGCCAGGCCTTGGGAGACATTGTGGTCAGTTACTGTCCAACCAGGAGGCTGAAACTGCACAGTAATTTGAATAAGGAAAATTGAAAGTAAATAACTTAACTATTTCAGGGAAATCTCTCTTAAAGCAGGGGTGTCCAATCTTTTGGCTTCCCTGGGCCACATTGGAAGAATTGTCTCGGGCCATACATAAAATACATGAACACTAATAGATGGCCAATAAGCTAAAAAAAAAAATCACAAAAAAACCTCATAGTGTTTTTCTGTTTGTTTTGGGTTTTTGTTGTTGTTGTTTGGTTTGGTTTTTGTTTTTTGGGATTTTTTTTGATACGGAGTCTCGCCCTGTTGCCAGACTGGAGTGCAGTGGCACCATCTCGACTCATGGCAACCTCTGCTTCCTGGGTTTAAGCAATTCTCCTGCTTCAGCCTCCCGAGTAGCTGGAACTACAGGCACACACCCAGCTAATTTTTGTATTTTTAGTAGAGATGAGGTTTCACCATGTTGGCCAGCATGGTCTCGATCTCTTGATCTCATGATCTGCTTGGCTCGGCCTCCCAAAGTTCTGGGATTACAGGTGTGAGCCACTGCACCCAGCCTGTTGTTTTGTTTTTTTGGACAGAGTCTTAACTCTGTCACCCAGGCTGGAGTGTAGTGGCATGATCTCGGCTCACTGCAACCTCTGCCTCCAGACTCAATCAATTCTTGTGCCTCAGCCTCCTGAGTAGGTGGGATTACAGGCATGTGCCACCACACCTGGCTAATTTTTGTACTTTTAGTAGAGAGACGGGTTTTCACCATGTTGGCCAGGCTGGTCTTGAACTCCTGAACTCAAGTGCTCTGCCTGCCTCGGCCTCCCAAAGTGCTGGGATTATAGGCATGAACCGCTGGCACCCAGCCAAAAATCTCATAGCGTTTTAAGGAAGTTTACAAATTTGTGTTGGGCCTCATTCAAAGCAGCCCTAGGCTGTGGGTTGGACAAGCTTAGGAAAGGCAAAGCAAACACACACACAAAATAGGGACAGCAAATTCACGGAGCTGCCAGTGTGCTCTCCAGAGCTTTAGGCAAGCACTGCAGGAAGAAACAAATCTGGAAGAATCTCCCACACACACCAGAAGTGAGTGCTAGACCTCCTTGGAGAGGGTGAGGATGTAGCCTGCTAGAGAGCAGAGAATTTTGCTGAGTTTCTACACTGACAAAACACTGGAAAACTGCTCCCCTAAGTGCTGCTTGTGACCTGCTCTGTCCCCAGAGAGGTGATGGCCAGGGTTGGCTGCTGTCCCCCACAAGAGCAAGGTAAGAGGAGCACTCAGAACTAGAAAGAGCCCCAACCTTCTCCAGCGTCCCTTTAGCAGATGCTGCAGATGAAGTTTCACACCGTGCCACAGAAAAGGCAAAGCCGGCAAGCAAGGTAAAGGGGGGAGGTTTGGAACTGATGGCAATCAGCTCAACAGTGCAAGAAAAATGAGTTTTCTTTTGAAAAGACGTTCAACATCACTGATCATTAGAGAAATGCAAATCAAAACCACAACGAGCTACCACCTCACACTAGTCAGAATGGCTATTACTAAAAAGTCAAAAAATAACAGATGCTGGCAAGGTTGTGGAGAAAAAGGGAACACTTAGGCACTGTTGGTGGGAGTGTAAATTAATTCAGCCATTGTGGAAGACAGTGGCAATTCCTCAAAGACCCAAGACTGAAATACCATTCAATGAAGCAATCCCATTACTGGGTGTATACCCAAAGGAATATAAATCATTTTATTATAAAGACATATGCATGTGTATGTTCATTCCAGCACTAGTCACAATAGCAAAGACATGGAATCAACCCAAATACCCATCAACGATAGGCTGGATAAAGAAAATGTGGTATATACACACCATACACCATGGGGTACTATGCAGACATAAAAAAGAATGAGATCGTGTCCTCTGCAGGGACATGGATGGAGCTGGAGGCCACTATCCTTAGCAAGCTTATAAGTGGGAGCTAAATGATGAGAACACATGGACACATAGAGGGGAATGACAAACACTGGGGCCTTTCGAAGGGTGGAGGGTGGGAGGAGGGAGAAGAGCAGAAAAAAAAAATAGTGGGTACTAGGCTTAATACCTGGATGATGAAAGAATCTATACAACAACCCCCATGACACAAGTGTACCTATGGAACAAGCCTGCGTATGTACCCTGACCTTAAAAGTTAAATTTTTTTTTAAAAAAAGAAAAGAGTTTTGCCCTCATTCAAAGAATTTGAGCCAAAGGGTGACATTTTAAATGATATTTTTGAAAAATCGGCTAGATGGCTTCATGGAAAGACAAAAGGAACAATAGAAGGAGTAAAAAGCATCTAGAAGGACAGGCTACTAATCGAGACCTGAGATGACAGATGGGAAGGGGTGGAAGCAGTAGACCTGTAAGAGATGCTTGGATTCACAAAAGGTTTGTTTTTTTTTTGTTTTTTTTTTTTCAGTGCAGTGGCGAGATCTCGGCTCACTGCAAGCTCCACCTCCCAGGTTCACGACATTCTCCTGCCTCAGCCTCCGGAGTAGCTGGGACTAAAGTTGTCCACCACCATGCCTGGCTAATTTTTTGTATTTTTCGTAGAGACAGGGTTTCACTGTGTAGCCAGGATGGTCTCGATCTCCTGACCTTGTGATCCACCCTCCTCGGCCTCCCAAAGTGCTGGGATTACAGGCATGAGCCACGGCACCCAGCCTCATTTGCTGTTAAACTCATTTATTGAGTCACCTTTTTCTTCCTCACACTTTTTAGTATTAGAATTTTTGTGTGTTTTTATTTACCCTAACCTGTCAATTTCATAGTTTCCACTTTCTTGTTGAAGTTTCCAAACTTGACCTCATGCCTTTGAATATACTAATTCTAGTTGCTTTGACACATTTTTTTCTTTTTCCTTGGCATCTGTTTATTCCTTCTCACAGTGTCTTTTTTCTTCATTGACCCTCACATCTTTGAGCAAATGTACAAAATATAGTGGGTGAACAACTGGTTTTGTCTGTCTTTAGAGGCCCAACTAATGTTTTCTTTCTCAAATGATTGCTATTTGCTCATGCCAGAAGTATAAGGACAGTCAAATTCTGAATTACTTTCATAAAAATTTGGAGTTGGAACCTTTTTGGGCACTCAGTTGGAGAGCAGCCAGCCTGCTGTGGTGACTGGGTGAATTCTGGTTCCTTCTCACTGCTTTAATGTACCAGCAGCTTTTGATATCCATGACCAAACTGGGAGCCTCTGCAAGACTAGCAGAGGTTTAACACAACCTGGTAGATATCCCATCTGAAGTAATAAATGGCTCCAGGGCAAAGCAGCTCTTATTTCTCTAAATGCTGTTTCTCTCCAAATCTTAGCCTGACAATTCTTAGCTGTGCATTAACTCAGTTAGTGTTAAAAAATAATAATAAATTATTACCTCTTATTTATTTTATTCATTTATTTATTTTATTTTTATTTTTTTGTGATGGAGTCTTGCTCTGTCACCCAGGCTGGAGTGCAGTGGCACAATCTCGGCTGACTGCAACGTCCGCCTCTGAGAATCAAGGGATTCTCCTGCCTCAGCTTCCCGAGTAGCCGTGACTACAGGCGCACGCCACTACTAATTTTTGTATTTTTAGTAGACACGGGGTTTCGCCACGTTAGCCAGGCTGGTCTCAACCTCCTGACCTCAAGTGATCCACCCACCTCGGCCTCCCAAAGTGCTGGGATTATAGGCGTGAGCCACTGTGCCAGGACCTGATTTGTTTTAAAATGTTATTTTACATACAAAACCTAATTTAAATTATTCTCGGATATCTAATCTGTCTTTATCAGAAGCAAAAGTCTGACATTTATTCATCATAAAAAATGGTATTTGAAATTTTCTCTCACTTGTGTTGTTTTGTTGTTGACCTCACAAAATTATCTTATAAAAATGTTCTTGATTATGTCTGATAATATTGTTTTGACAAATAATTTTTTCTTTGCGCCATTCTTGAAACTTTTATATTGTAACGTTAGATGAAAAGAATTAAGAACTATCTTAAACTGGTGTTAGAAAGCAGTGCTTACTAAGGACCTATGTGTTAAAAGAGAAATGGCACTATTTGTCAAAATGTCTACACAACCACCTAATTTGAATGTATGCTACACTGCAAATAAAATGTTTATATTTATAAATGTCTTATTTTTTGTCACAGCGTAGACTGAATTGGAGAAGGAACAAAGAAATCTGTAACCGGTGTGATCAATCAGTTGTAAACACCAGCCTCCAAATTACCTGTTATTAATTGTTGGTACTGAGCGTTCACAGTGAAATAGAACCATCAGAAAACATGGGCAAATAAAATTATTAAAAATTCATCTCTATGATGTGCCATGTTCTGAATAGGCAGTTTCTGAGTGTCTGGGCCATCTGTACAAGAAAGAGAGTTGTTATTTGGTCAAGGACACGTGCATTTTTCAGTCTAGAAGAATGTCATCATTTTCTTGAGGTAATTGCAATGTTCCTACTCTGTATCAAACAGCAAATACCTCTGATTCCTAAGGCAACAGCATAGTTATTATTTGATTTTTTCCAAGTGAATAAAATGAAAAATGAAATGTTGTGTCACAATCCCAAAACACTGCTGGCATATGGAATAGTTGAGATGATAGAACATGATTTGACAACTCCAAACTGAAAATATCTATCCAAGCAGTTGCACTCCTGAAAAACTATTATATTGTCTGGCAAAAGACTCTCTCATGATAGGAAGGTTTTCTAGATATTTCTAGAAATAGAGACAGGGATAAAACTTTATGTGGCCCCAAGAAAAGGAATCAGAATTGAGTATTGTCAATGATTGCTTATGGGCTTGAGAATTAAGAAAAAAAGGACCCCTCCCCACAGGTACCAACAGTTACATAACCACGGGTGCCATGGAACTAATTTGACATACTGAAACAATTTTCTATAATCATTCAGATTTCTGACAAATCAAAATATAACTATCAAATTCATACTTATGTTAGTTACAAGTCAAATCTTATTTTTAAAAAATCCAAATTCTTTGAAGATTTATCTTAACAATGACAAAGCAATTGACTGGGAAGTAGTTTTGTTAACCATTCAATTGACTATTTGACCTAAGAATGTTGTATGTATATATATTTAATTTCTATTAAACAAATGAACATATTTGTTTATACCATATAGTTATAGTTTGACTTTTTTTAAGAATTTAACCAAAACCATCAATCCTGAAGTATCAAACTCCAGTGACTTCAGCAATTCTACTTTAGAATTCAGTTATTTGGTAAAAAATGTAAGTAAAATATTAATAATTTCAGCCAGACGCAGTGGCTCATGCCTGTAATCCAGCACTTTGGGAGGCTGAGTTGGGCGGATCATGAGGTCAGGAGATCGAGACCACGGTGAAACCCCGTCTCTACTAAAAATACAAAAAATTAGCCGGGTGTGGTGGCGGGCGCCTGTAGTCCTAGCTACTTTGGAGGCTGAGGCAGGAGAATGGTGTGAACCTAGCAGGCGGAGCTTGCAGTGAGCTGAGATCGCGCCACTGCACTCCAGCCTGGGCAACAGAGCAAGACTATGTCTCAGAAAAAAAAAAAAAAAAAATTAATAATTTCATGGTAACCCTCTTCACTTTTTTCAAAATCAGAACAACAACATTTTACCTTTGCTGATTATTAAGGAATGTTCTCAGTATCATCTAATATTTATGTTCTTGCAAATGCAAGCACTGAACACTGGTATTTTAAATAACATCTTGTTTTTAAAAATCATGTATCTTTCATGCATCTGTAACCATCTGATCAATGATCAGAAAACGGAAAAGTCAGTAAGTATCACTAGGATTCTCTCAGAGAGTCACATTTAATTGGCTGGGCCCGTTTGAATTTCCATCTAGAATCTTCTGAGATTAATGTAGAAGTAATCACGGTGCATAAAAGCAGCTTAAAATACTGGACATAGCTTCAGTATCAGAACACTTTCAACTATAGTGTGACATGCACAATTGCTTTATTTTTCTTGAATATTTTCTTTTCCACTTGGTTAAGAATTTAGCAGATTGTGCTTTTCTGGAGAAAAAAAAACAATGTTGGAAACCAAGTTTTATTTAACAAAATTAAGTGATTTAAGCACAGAGAGATTTTGAACTTAATTCTACAGTATGTGTTTCACAACAAATTTCCTTGTATTAACGGTACGCCATTTCATACACAGAGCAAGTTCGAGCACCGCAGAACACAGCTAATTTTGCTAATGTATCACAATTACAGAAATAGCTGTGCTAAATGAACTTGTCCTATTTTCATGAAAATGAACAGTGTTCAATAACCCTCAAAATATTTTATTTCATGCTGATTCAGATTTTCTCTAACCATTTTTTTCTGTGACTTTGCTTCCACAATAACATAGAATGTTTTTAAAAAGGCAAATGTAGTTTGTTTTCATATATATTTTCCAGATATTCTTTCTTAAGAAAGCATGGTAACTTGCAGTTATTACCATGCATATCTTTTTTTTGGCAAAATGATATAATTTGTTTTAAAAAGCCAATCCAAACCTGTCCTATGTGTATATAGAGTGGCCATGCCGTTAAATTTGCACATAGACTGTCAGTGACTGAGGATGACCCAAATTGCAACTTCCTGTTTTAATGTTGCAAAGGCTGCCTATGCCTGATGGTGTGTCAAATACCCAAAGCTTGCATGGAGGGACCTAACAATGGACCTTTTCACAACTGTGTTTCCAGAATCTTTATTGACTTTACTTCATAGTACAATAAGATGAAAACAAAACGCAAACCGCCTGATTTCCAAGAGCTTATTTAAAACCAAAACCACCATGTGAGACTTAGTTAGCATAGTACACATTAGATATGGATGACATTTCTGCAGTAAGTCATTGTTTTAAGTCTAGTAAATATCCAGATGATAACATCTATTTAAGAACAGCACTGATAATTATATACGAGGAGGTCATGTTAAGTATTCCACAACAAATTAAAGAGATGATGTCCATGAAGTTATCTATGCTACTCTATATAACAGATGGAAAAAGCTTGGGTAATATTCAGTGCGGATACTGACTTGTGTTCCTGACTCATAGGCGGTGCTCAGACACATTTAACCCACTGTCTGACAGAATAAATGAACGTGTCCTGTAAGTGAACCCGTTCTGGGCATGAGGTTAATTATTTTCTATATGAGTACATTAAATCATTTTCTTTTCCAAGGGTAAATGAAGCCTTCAATTTGATTGAATAAAATACAAGATGTGCACCACCATGCCCGGCTAATTTGTTTATTTTTGTACAGGCAGGGTTTCACCATGTTGCCCGGGCTGGTATGGGACTCCTGAGTTCAAGCCACCCACCTGCCTTGGGCTCCCAAAGTGCTAGGATTCCAGGTGCGACCCACTGCACCTGTCCTGAAAGACAGATTTTGCTTAATTTCTACACTTGATGTTCTGGTACAGACATTTGCTTGGAAATACAGTATAGTTAGCGGAAGCCTTTTCATGGGGAAATAAGATATCAGTAAGTATTCCAGGATTTTAAACTAGAATACAAAAGAAGAAAATATTTAAAATAAACTATAGGGTAATATAAAATGTATTTACATCCTTACATTTAACTGCTTATTTTACAAGCAATAAGTTATCATTCACCAATTAATTTATGTCAAGTTCACTTGTATTAATACACATAAACTTCTATGAAGTTCCATAATGCCAAATAAAAAAGCAACATTTAGGTTTAACATGTATTTTATATAGGCATAACGCAACACCAGCATTACAGGATTGCATTTACAAATTCTCTTGACTCTAAGCATGAAGTTATGTTAAAAGACTAAGGCAATTTAACTGTTTTTGGGTTTTTTTATATTAAGGAAACCTAAATTTGTATGAGTGAATTAAATTGAATTACATTTTCTTATAGGCATATCAGTTTACCCTTTGTTAAAATAACACGCACTGCCCTACAAAATGAATGCCGTAGTCACAATCATGTTTCTGCCACAATCTTAAAGATTTGGGGAAACAACTACAATCTAAAATCAGAGACTCCATGTCCAATGCCAAAGGTACACACCTCTATTTTTCCCCAGTAAGCCTCTTGGAAAAGTCTTTGAATTACACGTTAAAGTGCACTTCAAGGAAATGTGATGTTTTCGTTTATAGCTGGTGAACAGCATGCAATTTGACAGCACTGTCACTAACAATCAGAGACTGCTCTGGATCTAAGTACTAAAAATGACCCACACTGCAATCACAAGATATTTGGAAGTGGGGATTTATTGAACAAAGTTAGGCCGGGAGTCTAAAGCAGCACTTGCTTCTTTTGCTCCAAGACGACGACGTTTAACATTAGCATCACTATTGTTTCTTTTTCCCTCAACTCTTCTCCCACACTGCCTTCTTCTCCCCCCCCACCTTCTCCCATCGTCTTTCCCCGCTTCCCTTCTCCCTCCCTCCGCTCCCCCTTCTTCTCCCAGCACTCTTCTCAGCCCGTCTTTCTGCCTTTCTCTTCCCCTCCCCACCTCGTTCCCTGCCTCATCCTCTTCTCTCCCACCAATCTTTTTCCCCTCTCCATCTCTTTCCCCAAGGTCGTCTTCGCCGCTTTCCACTCCCTTCTTCTTCCCCCCAACCCTCTTCCCTCCTCCCTCCCCATCCTTTTCTTCCCTTCACCCCTTTTCCAGTCTTCTTCCCCACCTTCTGCTCTTTCCCTCCCCTCTCCTTCCCGACCCTTCTCCTTTCCCAACGTCTTCCCACCTTTTTCTCCCCTCTCCGTCTTCTCCCCTCCTTCTTCCCCACTGCGGTCTTCCCGCATCCTCTTCTGCCGTCTCCCTACTGTCTTCTTCCCGCACCTTCTTCTCCCCCGCAGTTTTTTTTTCCCCTTCCCCACCGTTTTCTTCCCCTCAGTCTCTCCCATTCCTCGCAGCACGGGTTCCTGTGGCGGCAGCTTTTCCTTCCATCTCCTTCTCTCCACCCGCTGGCTTCCAGTCTCCACCTTCCCGCCTATTCCCCCAGCAGCGTCTTCCCGCCGCTCCCTCTTCTCCCCTCCCCCTCCTCACCGTCTTCTCCCGGCCTATTACCGCCAACCGTTTTCTTCCTCATCCCGCACCCTTTTCTTCCCATGTCTGCCTTAGTCTTCTTCCCACCCTCTTCTCCTCTCCCCATCGCCTTCTTCCCACCCTCTTCTCCTCTCCCCATCGCCTTCTTCCCACCCTCTTCTCCTCTCCCAATCGTCTTCTTTCCCAGCCTCTTCTCCATTTTCTTGCCGCCTCCATATCCCCACCTTCTTCTCGCAGCAGCGTCTTCCTGCCGCGCTTTTCTCTCCCCTCACCATCTTCTCTTCCTCTTCCCCACCGTCCTCTCCCCACGCCCTCTTCTCCTCACTGTCTTCTCCCCGCGCCTTCCCCACAACCGTTTTCTCCCCCGTTTTCTTCCCCTCACACCGTTTTCTTCCCATGTCCTCCCACCGTCTCGCAGCAGCGTCTGTCAGTCGCAATCTTCTTCCCACTTTCTTCTCTCCCCCTCCCATCGTCTTTTTTCCCCAGCCTCTTATTCTCCGCCATCTTCTTCCCCTCCCCACCTTCTCGCAGCAGCGACTTCCTGCCGCGTTTTTCTCTCCCCGCACCCTCTTCTCCCCTCTTCCACTCCCCACCGTCTTCGCCCCCGATCGTCTTCTTGCCCACCCCCTTCTCGCGCTCTCCAACTGCCTTTCACCTAGAAGCGCTCCACGCGTGCGCCCGCCTGTGTCCCTGCGCCTGGTGTGTCTGTGCGCCCAGCCAGCCCCATGAGCTGGGCCCCTGAGCTCCGCCCCAACAGCCAACAGGAGACCCAGGAGAGTCGCTGCCAGGGCCATCACGGCTGCCGCCGCCCCCGCCCCCGCCGCTACCTCAGAACTGAACAGTGTTGGCTGCGGGCGAAAGGCAGTGGGGCCCGGAAGACTGCGGGGAGAGGGGGAGGAGGGGACGGAGAGGGTGGGAAAGACCTTGGAAAGTGGGATGGGGAGAAAGGTGGGGAAGAAGACAGTGGGGAGAAAGTGCAGGGAGAAGACAGTGTGGTAGAGAAGACAGTGGAGGAAAACGGTGAGGAGAAAGGAGGGTGGAAAAGAAGACGATGAGGACAAGGCCGGGCGCGGTGGCTCACGCCTGTAATCCCAGCACTTTGGGAGGCTGATGCGGGCGGATCACAAGGTCAGGAGTTCGAGACCTGCCTGACCAACATGCTGAAACCCAGTCTCTACTAAAAATACAAAAATTAGCTGGGCGTGATGGCGAGCGCCTGTAATCCAGCTACTCCAGCGCCTGAGGCAGGAGAATCGCTTGAACCCCGGAGGCGGAGGTTGCAGTGAGCTGAGAACTCACCATTGCACTCCAGCCTGGATGACAGAGTGAGACTCCATCTCAAAAAAGAAGAACAAACTACAGCGGGGAGAGGGCGAGGGGAAGAAGATAGTGGGGGAAAAAGAGCACCGAGAAAGGGAGAAGAGATGGGGAGAGCTCTATTGTGTCACTGAACATTCCTCAGTTAAAGTTAAAATGTTCTCATAAGTTTGTGTGTTTTCAACTTTTGCTCTTCCAGTTGGTATATTCTTTTCTTCCTCCATCTCCTTTTTATACCTCCAACCACCTTTCTCTTTTTATTTTCCAATGTTTTTCTTTCTTCTAAGAACATTGTTAACGCTGGTAACACTTTACAATGTTGCAAAGCTCTGAACCTATTTCCTGTCATCTCTTCATGCTTTCCCATTGAGATATCAGGAGATTTTCCTTTTACTTTGTTTACACTAGGAACATTTCAGCGTGGCTAGACCTGTTTTCCACCTAATTTTTTTCAACTTCAAGCTTGAGAAACCCAAATATGCTCCTGGTTTTTGTTGTTGTTGTTGTTGTTGTTTTTTGAGACGGAATCTCTCTCTGTTGCCCAGGCTGGAGTTCAGTGGCAAGATCTCAGCTCACTGCAAGCTCCACCTCCCAGGTTCACGCCATTCTCCTGCCTCAGCCCCCCTAGTAGCTGGGACTATAGGCGCCCGCCACCACGCCCGGCTAATTTTTTGTATTTTTTTAGTAGAGACGGGGTTTCGCCATGTTGCCAGGCTGGTCTCGATCTCCTGACCTCGTGATCCGCCCGCCTTGGCCTCCCAAAGTGCTGGGATTACAGGCATGACCAAATGTGCTCCTTTACCAATTGTTTCTGTCTCAGGAATTGGTTTCTTGTTGCACTGTGATACACATGAAGCCATATACCTTTTTCAGCTCATTATCCCCAGAATGTATTTGTACATTATTAACACAGAATAGACACCTAATAAATATTTCTAAATTTTTATTGTTCTTCCTTGCCACAAAAAGCAATCACTTTTTTTTAGCATGATGTACATGCCCTTCTATCATGTTGCCCTGAACTATTTATCAAATCTTATTTCTTCCCACTCCCCCATTTGTTTCCCATGCTGTGGCTGTACAAAACTACTTAGAGCTCTGTCAACTCTCCATGCTATTTTATAATAATCAACACTAATGAAAAGAAAGGGGGCTTTATAACAGAGGCAGAACTCATTATGTTCTAAAAAATACACGCATGTTTCCCATGTTGAATAGTGTCCCGCAGAAAGTCATGTCCAGCTGGAACCCAGGAATGTTAAACTATTTGGAAACAGGGTCTCTGCAGATAACACTTGGTTAAGACAAGGTCACAATGCATTAGGGTGGGCTGTAAAGCCAATGGCTGTGTCCTTTCAGGAAGGTCATGGGAACATACAGAGACCTACAGGGAAGACGGCCATGGGACAAGGGAGGCAGAGTCTGGAGTTACGCTGCCTACAGTCACGGAATGCCAAGGACAGCTGGAAACCACCAGAAGCTAAGAAGGAGATTTTACCTGAAAGCCTCTCAAAGAAATCAATCATACTCACACCTCCTTTTTGAATTTCTGGCCTCGTGAATGGTGAAAAAATAAATTTCTGTCGTCTTAAGCCCCACGGTTTGTAGTCATTTGTTCTGTTCCTAGCCTTAGGAAACTAACACAGCATGCTAAGGGAAAAGAAGAAAATTCTGCATAAAATGTCATTTTACTTTTTAAAACAACTACTGTTGACAGTAAATGAGTATTCTTCCAAGATTCATATGCAGAACATATATGCAGCCCGGAACATTTTTTGGGACCCATGGCATAAGTGATTATGATCGATAAAATCCAAATATTAACCTGCCAAAAGAGTTATTTTATCTTTTGCAGTCATTTAAAGGTAATAAGCAGAGGTCATGAGCCCTATAAAAATTAATCTATTCATTTGTTGTCACTTGATACTTACGATCCGTTGACATATTTAGGTTTTAATTCTTTGTACAGATTATGGTTCGTCTTGCACTGTAATTTTATTGCACAACAAATTTTTTATTTATATATCTAAGTTGTTTCTTAAATGTGAATAACATTGCACTTGAAAATAGAAGACTTCTGTCGACGTTCTCGTAACAGCTTCTTCTAGTTAATAAAAACCTAATCCCATTTTCCTTTTATGTATAGATTACAAGTAAAATCGGCATTTAAAAAGTAAAATCTGTTCAACAATTTCTATTGCTATTGTAGGTAGTATAACATAAAATGTGTCTTATTTTTCCCTCACTCATTGACAATTTAAGTAAATTTTTTAAACCAAGAAGCTCTTTTCACATACCAGGCCCAGTGATTGGAATTGAGTATTCAGTATTGAACAGAGCAAACAAGTTTCTTATCATTAAGCTCATATTCTATGTTATAAACATTTTTCCAGTGAAATTACTGGAATGTTTTCAAGCAATATTGAATTGTGTTCTTATAATCACCTATCTCCATTTATTGTTGAGAATGAAGAAAATTTTGGAGCATTCAATTCAATGCAATGATTTTTTTTTTTTTTTTTTTTTTTGAGACAGAGTTTCGTTCTTGCTGCCCAGGCTGGAGTGTAGTGTCACGATCTTGGCTCATTGCAATCTCCACTTCCTGGGTTCAAACAATTCTCCTGCCTGAGCCTCCTGAGTAGCTGAGATTATAGACTTGTGCCACCATACCCAGCTAATTTTTTGTTTAGTAGAGACGGATTTTCACCAGGCTATCCAGGCTCGTCTCGAAATCCTGACCTCAGATGATCCACCCGCCTCAGCCTCCCAAAGTGCCAGCATTACAGGCATGAGCCACTGTGCCCGGCCCAGTGCAATGATTTGATAGTTATTATGGTGGTTTTAAAATGACCTGAGTGAAATATAGTGCTTACATCAATTCCTTATCTGTCATGCATTTCATCTAGTAATCTGCTCTAACTACATTATTTCTTTTTATTAAATGTCTTGAGATTTAAAAAGATGTTTTGTAGTTATACTCAAGCTTGGAACCATAGTGACCAACTGTTACGGACAGACTGGATTGTATCCCCTTCCAATTAAGTTACGGTGCTGCTACAGAAAGAAAAGAGGTGAACTATTTTTTAAAAGCATTTCTCCATTGGCTTTGAAAATGCCTATATCATCATGAATAGAATGTTGGTAAAATTCTGAAAGCTGAAGGCCATTCTGGTGAGATCTCATATGGAAATGAGATGCAGCTTATTAGAAACAGGAGGAAAAGTGATCCTTGTTTTAAAGTGGCAAAGAACTTGGATGTATCATGTTCTAATATTTTGTGAAAGGTAGAACTTGCAAGTGATGAAATTGTATATTTTGCTGAGGAGATTTCTAAGCAAAGTGATGAATGAATGGTGTGGTTTCTCTTTACCACTTATAGTAAAGTGCAAGAGAAAAGAGATAAAATAATACTTAAAAAGGAATCACAGGCCACATGCAGTGGTTCACTCCTCTAATGCCAGCACTTTGGAAGGCCGAGGAGGGCAGATCACTTGAGGTCAGGAGTTGGAGACCACCTTAGTGAAACCCTGCCTCTACTATTTTTGTAAACATACAAAAAATAGCCAGGTGTGATGGCATGCACCTGTAGTCCCATCTTCTCGGGAGGCTGAGGCATGAGAATCAGTTGAACCTGGGAGGTGGAGGCTGCAGTGAGCTAAGATCGCTCCACTACACAGCAGTCTGGGTGATGGAGCAAGAGTCTGTCAAAAAAAAAAGGAAATCACAGCTTGAATATCTGAAAAATCCTCAGCCTGTCTATATTGCAAAACATAAGAAACATGTTCGGCTGGGCGCGGTGGCTCACGCCTATAGTCTTAGCACTTTGGGAGCCCGAGGCGAGCAGATCACCAGAGGTCGGGAGTTTAAGACCAGCTTGACCAATGTGGAGAAACTCTGTCTCTACTGAAAATACAAAATGAGCCAGGCATGGCGGTGCATGCCTGTAATCCCAGCTACTCCGCAGGCTGAGGCACCAGAATAGCTTGAATCCGGGAGGCGGAGGTTGCAGTGAGCCGAGATCGCACCACTGCACTCCAGACTGAGGGACAAAGTGAGACTCAGTCTCAAAAAAAAAAAAAAAAAGAAAAGAAAAAAAAAAAAGGAAGCAAGCTGGGTATCTGCCTTTAGAGGTGTTGTACCTTTTCAGCATTATAAATGAATAGAGATGAGTGGCAATAGTTACTTTGGTCCATAGATTTTTGGTATCTTAACTAGTTTTGGATCTCTTCCACTAAAGGGATTGCCTGTTGCACGTTGTTAGGAATGTAAATACTGAAGGCAAACTGCCTGGGTTTGAATTTTGTTCTGTCCCTTGCACCCTGCCTGGGTTAAAATACTAGCTCTGCTTATTAAGTTCTTTTATGGTGATGACCTTTGAGCAAATGTCTTAGCTTCTGCTTTCCCAAGTAAATGGACACAATAGTTGCTACCTTGTGAAAGATTCATGTAATTGACCAGTGTTTACCAAGCAGCATCAGTGTTCAGTTTCAGTCATTGGTGATTCCGCAGTTGGACTGTGAGGGGGTGCTGGGGTGGGGGTGGTGTGTGTGTGTAGCACTTAATTGCATGCGGAAAGGAAAAGATACTTTTTATAACCGAGAGGCAGCTTTTCTCTGCTTTTGTGTCAAAAGGGAAGAAGGGAGTTTGGAGAGGGAAACCAATTCTCTTTAATACTAAGCTCTCTTCTTCAAAATCAGAGGTAGATAGAATGTGTAATAATTTACAGAATTTCTAGACTTCAACAATCTGATTTTTTTAAATGTATTTTTATTTTTTCAGGTTGAGACTGAGCTACAGTTAATCTGTGGCGACGTGCTGGATGCACTGGACAAACACCTCATTCCAGTAGCTGACACTGGCAAGTCCAAGGTTTTCTATTAGGAAATGTAGGTTCTATACTAGAAAGGAAAATGTAAGATTAAAAGTTGGCCTTTTTAGAATCATGACTTTCTTCTATGTAGGTTTCCAACTTTTATTTAAAAATAATTGTTTAATGTTAGAAGGATAGTCAATGTTGGGATAAAAAGATGGTCAGGCTATTATAAAAAATGCATTAGCTTTTGCTTTACCTATTTATATTCTTTTGCTTTCATGGGACCTATCTCATTCCCCTCCCCTAAACGGCCACACATTTCACAGTGCTGGCTGAAAGTTTCATGTAGAAATTTTATTTTATGATTAATACACTTGTGCCATTTCTTGGAACCACTTGCTTGTTTAATTCTAGTCTATCAAGTGATAATTTTCTTGATATTTAGAGGCTCCTCAGTTAATTTCTGTGGGATTTTTCGTTATATTTAATAAGGAAAATAATAGGAAATAGCTAAGAAAAAAAGAAACAAAGCCAATTATTCCTGAGCGTGTTTAAAATTATTGAAGTACACTTGTTAATTTTTAGTATAGAACCTACATTTCATAATAGAAAACCTTGGACTTGCCAGTGTTAGCTGCTGGAATAAGGTGTTTGTCCAGTACATTCAGAATGTCGCCACAGATTAACTTTAGCTCAGTCTCAACCTGAAAAAATAAAAATGAATTTTAAAAAATTCAGATTGTTGAAGTCTAGAAATTCTGTAAGTTATTACACATTCTATGTACCTCTGATTTTGAGGAAGAGAGCTTAGTATTGAACAGAATTAGTTTCCCTCTCCAAACTCCATTCCTCCCTTTTGACACAAAAGCAGAGAAAAGCTGCCTCTGGGTCATCAAAAGTATCTTTTCCTTTCCGCGTGCAATTAAGTGCTACACACACACACCACCCCCACCCCAACACCCCATCACAGTCCAACTGCAGAATCACCAATGACTGAAACTGAACACTGATGCTACTTGGTAAACACTGGTCAATTACATGAATCTTTCACAAGGTAGCAACTATTGTGTCCATTTACTTGGGAAAACAGAAGCTAAGACATTTGCTCAAAGATCATCACCTTAAAAGAACTTAATAAGCAGAGCTAGGATTTGAACCCAGGCAGGGTGCAAGGGACAGAACAAAATTCAAACCCAGGCAGTTTGCCTTCAGTATTTACATTCCTAACAACGTTCAACAGGCAATCCCTTTAGTGGAAGAGATCCAAAACTAGTTAAGATACCAAAAATCTGTGGACCAAAGTAACTATTGCCACATACCCAGTTTACTTCCTTTTCTTTTTTTTTTTTTTTTTTTTGAGAGGGAGTCTCACTCTGTCACCCAGGCTGGAGTGCAGTGGTGTGATCTCAGCTCACTGCAATCTCCACCTCCTGGGTTCGTGCCATTCTCCCGCCTCAGCCTCCCGAGGAGCCGGGACCACAGGCGCCCACCACCACGCCCAGCTAATTTTTTGTATTTTTAGTAGAGACGGGTTTCACCGTGTTAGCCAGGATGGTCTCGATCTCCTGACCTCGTGATCCGCCCGCCTTGGCCTCCCAAAGTGCTGGGATTACAGGCGTAAGCCACCATTGCCCGGCCGCTAAACTCTTTAATTTTCAATTACTCCAATTGCTTGAAACTCAAATAGCCATATGGGGCTAGTGGCCACCATTTGGACAGAGTGACTCCAACATTCCATGTGGTGTAATTTTATTTGCTAGCCTTTAGCATCATGTAATGTGATCTTCTTCACTTGTTTTCTGTCTCTGTGACCAGAGCATCAGCTCCTTGAGGTGGGAATTGGTTTGTCTTATCCACTGCTGTATGCTGGGGCTAGAAGTTGGCCTGGCATATAGTAGATGCTCAATATGTAATTGCCGAATGAATGCATGAGTAAATGAATGACTCCTGGGGACCATGAACTCTGAATTTCTCCAAAAGGAATGCTAGTTCTGCCAGGGCTTGCTGCTCTGTGACCTCAAGTCAGGATCTTGCCCTCTCTGGGCTCAGCATCCTGACCAAGGGGCACTGGGGCCCCTCTGGTCCTAAGGCTCGAGACTTACTGCTGCTTACTCTGTCCTGTTGGGAGAAAAGCTGAGTGTTGGGAGAGAAGCTGAGGCAGGGCTTGCATGTCTGCTAGACTTGCTGACTCCTTGCTTCTAGCACTCCCATTATCTCAAGTAGCCACATGTTTCAAAGAAAATGCTACACCATCGCAGCTGTAGCTCACTCACTTGATACATTGATTCCTTTAAACCCCCACAGCCTCACCACCTGTTTCTTTGTTTGAGCACAAATAAATAGCCTGGGCTCCCTGTGTACCCATTGTTCTCACTTAATACATGAGAACATGCAATATTTGGCTGTTTCTGCGTTAATTCACGTAGGATAATGACCTTCAGCTGCATCTGTGTTGCTGCAAAGGACATGATTTTGTTCTTTTTTATGACTGCCTAGTACTTTGTGGTGTATATGCACCACATTTTCTTTATTTAATGAACCGTTGGTGGATACTTACCTTGGTTCCATGACCTTGCTGTTGTAAGTTATGCTGCGATAAACATGGGAGTGCAGTGCCTTTTTATGTAATGATTTCTTTCCCTTTGGGTAGATACCCAGTAGTGGGATTGCTGGGTCGAAAGGTAGTTGTACTTTTAGTTCTTTGAGATACCTCCCTACTTTTTCCATAGAAGTTGAACTAATTGACACCTACCACCGCTTGCTGGAGGTTGAGGACGCCCAGTGAGTGTGCACCCGGGCTGGAGAAGGCAGGAGGTATGGCCCGGAAAAGAGACACAGAAAGGTAATCCAAGAGGGCTTTCTGGAGGAGGTGGCAGCTGAGCCTAGAGGTGAATTTCGTTGGGGAAGAGGGAGTGAGGCCTAGGCAGCTTAGGCCATGACCCCCATAGTGGGAGACGGCTGCATAAGGGTCTCTCTCCTGGCATCCGTCTTTACCCATGCCTGGGCATCCTACCCCCATCACCCTTTAACCCCCGAGGGCCTTGGCTGGGTCCCAGAAATTCCCAGGAGGGTCAGAGAAGACCACGGGGACTCTCATCACCCCCACCCTGGCTCACTTCCAAAAAGGCTGCAAGAAGGATGTTGGAGGGTCTCCTGGAGGCCGCCAAGGGCATTTTCTCATGGAGCCCACGTCTCTCCCCGATCGTGGTGGCTGTGATCGGTAATTCCAGCTTCATACTGGCTACAGGTGGATGATGCCCACCTGGCTGCCGATGACTTCTGCACCAAGTGAGGCTGGGTCTCTGGAGCTGCCCCAGGGGCTGGACAAGCTGACCCTGCCTGGAGCCAACCTGGAGATGCAGCCTGAGAACCTCAAGGAGGACCTGGTCTACCTGAAGAAGAACCATGAGGAGGTGAGTTCAGCTCAGGGAATGCAGCAGAAATTCACCTGGAAGCAAGCGAGGCTGGGGCCCAGAACCTCCCTGGGCTGGGCCATGCTTCCAGTCCAGTTCCCATCCTTTATGGATGCCTAGCTCTGACCCTCAGAGGACCCTGGGTGAGGCCTGGAGGAGCCCTCTTCTCAAATAGACTTCATTTGTCCCTTGAGGCTCAGCTCACTGCAGTTAACTAACTAATGAGTAACTCAGTGTAAGAACACACAATACTAATTACTATAATTAATTATAATAGTGATAGTCATTAAAACAAGGAACTTCTGCCCAGCACTACAAGTGACTCACAGCCATTATCTCAACTGATACAAAAACTGGGAGAAAGGTACTGTTTCTTTCTTTTGACCTGTGAAGAAACTGAGGCTCAGAGAGGTTAAGGGATATATCTATGGCTGCACAGGGACCCTCCTTCAGGTCTGTCGGACTCGTATCCACCCCACCTCTCTGCCCCTCTCCTGCCCCTCCTTTCCAGAAGGTTCTAGGTCCCAGGGACTCCAACCCAAGGATAGAGATCCAAGGTCCTGCCGGGGCGGTCAGGAGGTCTTACATGCCCTGTCCTGTGGCTTCCTTCTCAGCTGAGCTCTGTGCTGCTCTAAGCTGGGGGAGCCTACTCCCTGAGAAGCAGGACACCCGGAAGGTGTTTCCCCCTGGCGTTGAGGCTGGTTATACAATTCCTTTCCTCTAGCAGATTAACATTTGCTAACAGGGCCTGGCGCGGTGACAGCAGCGTAAGGTTGCTTTTTGCATGCCTGTGCTGTGGGGTTGGTGGTGGGGGCAAGGCGGTGGTAGGGGCGAGGCCAGGGCAGTGAGTGAGGTCGCCCATGGTCATTCTCTGCCGTGCTGGGGGGTTGTCATCTCTTGGGGCTTAGCACTTGTTGGGGATGGGTGAAGTCCAGTCCCGAGTCACAGTGTGTGTTGGGGGAGGTTGCTGATATTCATAGCCCTGTATGTTTGAGTAATGACAACATCCATCTCCACCTTCAGGGTGAGGAGCTGTTGGCCTATCTGTGTCTGTCTGTCTGTCTGTCTGTCATCCGTACCTGTCTCTCCCAGGGAGAGAAGGCAGGCCCCAGGGTCTTTCCCCAGGATGGCCTTGGGTGAGTTCCTACTGTCCTCTCTGCCCAGGAAATGAACGCCCTTTGAGGTCAGGTGGACAAGGATGTCAGTGTGAAGATGGACACTGTGCCTGGAGTGAACCTGAGCTGCATCCTGAATGAGATGCGTGACCAGGACAAGAAACTGGTGGAGAAGAGCTGCAAGGATGCCCAGGGCTGGTTCTTCAGCGTGGTGGGTGGCCGTGTGTAAGCAGGTGTGCACACGTGTGGGCACATACGCCGTGTGCTGGTGCAGTTGGAACACCGGCAGATTCACAGGCTGTCCCAGTTGGAAGGACTTTTGGAAACCAGTCGGACCAGCCCTTCATGTCTTCGATGTAAAATGTGAGGCTCAGAGAGGACTCAAGCTCACACAGCCCTTCACTGTGGCCTGCAAAATAGATCCCGTTCTCTGCAAGTCTGGTCTTGGGTTTCCACCACAGCTGTTTACAGGATGTGTGTATTTGAGTACATACACATACCCTTGGCAAGCACAGGCTGAGTGTGTCCGGTGTCCTAGGGACAGCAACAGGTGCAAAAGAATAACACCCAGTGCCTGTCTTTGAGGTGCTGTAGTTCGGTAGGAGTAAGAAATGCAAACGACCGCAGAGCAGGTTGAATTCCTCCAAGGTCCAACATGGGTGCAGAGAGTCTTTGTGTGCAGGTGCTTTTGGGGCCCCATAGAGGCCAGGGAGGGTTTAGGGGATGGTTCTGGGAGGCGAGGGCTCAGGAACAGCCCCTTTCCTGTGCCCCACTTGTGAAAGTCTCCATAAACCCCTGTGGCCCACTCTGCCTTCCAGAGAGAGGGGCTGAACTGCAAGGTGGCCACCAACACAGAGGCCCTGCAGAGCGGCAGGATGGAGATGTGGAGCTCTACATCTCTGTGCAGAACCTGAGCCGTCCCAGCTCAGCAAGGTAGGGCCCCTGTCCCCTCCCCACCCTGTACCTGTCACCCCAGGGTGAGCGCAGCCTTATAGACCCCTGCTTGGAGAACCAGAGTCCCCACCCAGCCTGTCCCTTCACACTCAGTGGCTGGGTGCACTACCACCCAACTGTGCCGGCAGCACCCACAGCTCCATACAGGAGGGGCTCCTCTCTAGTGCTCTGCCATGGGGAAGGGTCCCACGTCCATCTCATCGCACCACCTATCTCTTGGCCCACAGAAAGCATCGCTGGAGGGCAGCCTGGTGGAGACGGAGGTGTGTTACAGGACCCAGCTGGCCCAGCTGCAGGGGCTCATCAGAAGCATGGAACAGCAGCTGTGCGAGCTCTGCTGTGATGCAGAGCACCAGGACCACGAGCACCAGGTCCTTCTGGACGTGAAGACGCGGCTGGAGCAGGAGATCGCCACCTACAGCCGCTTGCTAGAGGTTGAGGACGCCCAGTGAGTGTGCACCCAGGTACCTGCTGGGGCGGGCTGGGGGCCCACTTCACCCAGGGAGAAGTTGGTGTCTGAGCACCAGCAAAGTTCAGGAGGTGTGAATGTGGGAACCTGTGGGGTTTGCAGGAGGTGAAACTGACGATGCAGGCTGGAGTCTGACTGAGGAGCCTTGACTGCCAAGTTAAAGCGTCTGGACTAGATCACGTAGGCAATGGGGAGCCATGGAGGGATTTGGAGCAGAAGAAGGGAATGAACATCAAGATATTTTAGAACATTCACTCTGGCTACAGAGGGAGAAATGGATCAGAGGGGTCAGGGTGGGGCCAGAGAGACGCGTCAGGGGGCTAGAGCAGGGAGTCTGGCCAGAGAAGTCTTGCGGGGTGGAGGCTGGGTGGGGGGGCAGGGGAAGGAAGGTGGTGCACGCAGAAGAGAGGTTATAGCTCAAAACAGCAGGACTGGATGCCTGGATCTCAGGGTAAGCGTGGCTCACGGTCAGGACTCAGTAAGCGTTGGGTGAACACATATGAAGGAGTGGGCATTGATGGCCCTGGGTTTCTGGTTCCGATGACTGTGTGAGTCCATCAGCCACAGGGTGAAGAGCATGGTGGGTGGTGGTCGGGTTTGCAGTTGGGAAGGGTGATCAGGCCTTCAGCTGAGTGTGTCCTGGAGTCTCCATGCTTAGTCACACGTTGCAGCTTTTTGCTCCCCGAAAATGGTGAAGTCCATCTATAGTCTAACGACAGTCTCTCCTGCTTTAATTGGGTCTATTTGTTGGGTCCTCTGGGACATGGAAAAACCACTTGCTCAGCTTCTCCTTGTAAATTCCTGGTGAGTGCCTCCAGGCCTACTGCTGTGCTGTTTCTTTTTCTTCTTCCTGCTGCACTGAACCCCTGCCCTTTCATTCTTGGGCCTGTGCTAATTTCTGTGCATTCCCAACTGTGATTTTTCACCAATTTAGGGGAACCTCCTCTGCCAGGGCCTGCTTCTCCCCAGCAGTGCTTGCAGGGGCCTGGGCTGGCTGGCATCCCTGGGTCGATGGGTGCTCCTCTCCCTGCAGGCTGGCCACTCAGTACTCCTTGTCCCTGGCCTCGCAGCCCACCTGGGAAGGTAAGAAGCTGCCCTGTCCTGCTGTGTGGACCCCAAGGCGGCGGAGAGGCTGAGGACCCTTCTGTGTGGGAGACTGGGGGGACCACAGACTCGGGCAGGTGGGGGGAAGAGCTCCTGCCTGATGTTCCCTGTGCCTCCCTCCTCCATCGCCTGCAGCCACAGTGACCAGCCACCAGGTGTGCCATCGTGGAGGAAGTCCAGGTTGGAGAGGTGGTCTTCTGTAAGCAGGTCCATCTCTCCACCCACTGAGGCCCCTTTCTGCCTGTGACAGCCCCACCTCGAGGGTCATGGCACAGCCATCAGCTGCAGCTCCCAGCATGCTACTGCCACGCCCCGAGTGTCCGTCTGGGCACTGGTCCATGACCTGTTGTCTTTCTGTATCTACTTTCTGCAGCCCCTCACTGAGGAGGCCTCCTGGGTTTGTCCAGTGCCTGCTATTAAAGCTTTGCTCCAAGTTCAATGCCTCGTGTGATCTGGTCTGTTCATTGGTTTGGGGCAGTGTGGGCTGAGGGACTGGGATAGGTGGAGAGTTTATTGAGTGTTTGGGTATTGGCTTGTCACCTGCCAATCTGTTCTGCCCACTCCATCCAGGCCTGGGGCTCCTAGAAGACCAGAGGGGAGGAGGAGGAAGGATTAAGGGTGGAGGGAAGGGACAGCCCCTTGTATTGGGAAAAGTTTCTAAGAATCAGCCCCTGAGTCCCTGTCACCTGTGGCTGGTCCCTGGGAGGGCCACACATACTTTCCAAGGACCACACCTGTTGGGGAGCACTCCCTGCCTCAGCCCAGGGTGGGTTCAAGAGCAGAAGGAGAGGGGCTCGGTGGGGAGGGGCTTCTGAAGGAGTGGTCCAGGGCACTGATGAGTGAGGGGGTGAGAGCGAGGCAGCTAGCCCAGGAAAGCAGACCGGCTCTGCCCAGCTCGGGGTGTGTGTGGGGCAGGGTGGCCGCTGTGCGTGTACGCATGGGGGGTGTCCTGTTTGCTTTGGTGGCTTGGCAGCCACTGGGCTATTGAGGAATCTCTCTCCGCTGCTGGTGGGGCTACCTGGGCCTGTCTGGGAAGTGGAAGCCATTGGCAGTCTGAAACATGACCACCTTCCACCCAGCGGGCCTGGCAGGACCCTGGGACCCAGGGCGGGGCTTGGGGTGGTGGGCAGGGCAGGGTGGGGCTGTGGAGTGGGGCACTTGGCCCGCCCGAGGAGCCACATCTTGGGGAGCCTGGAGTGGGGAGGGGGCTGGCTGGCTGGGGTCTCTGTAAGAGCCTCTTCTTGGGCAATGTCCTTTAGGTTTCCTGTGGGCTGAGACCTGAGAGAAATGCCCCTCCCCTGACCCTGAGGTCTCTTGGGGTACAGAAGGGTGAGAGGAGTGGAAGGGGGCATCCCCCTCTCAGTTGGTTTAGATCCTCTCTTAGCACGGCCCACCTTTCCCCCATCCTATAGCTGAGCCCCTGTTTGCCCACCCCAGCCTGGAGTGTAAACCTGGGGAAAGGTTTACACGAGGAGACTGGGTTAGCAAGGGCTTCTAGGGATGGGGCAGGGTCAGAAGCTGACTGGATGGAACTGTAGCCCCTAGAGTGCATTCCTGGGTGTCAGACTCTGCAGAAGGGGCCAGTGTGGACACTGCACCCCTCTGGAGCCCCAATTTCTTTATCTGCGATGTGGGTTGGTCTCCGAGGCTTGATGGCATTTCTATGCTGTGAGGTGGGCCTGGTGGGTTTGGGCTCAGTTTCCAAGGCAGGATAGGCTCTCGGTCCCTTCTTTCTCTTCAGCACCCAGCCCCGGGCCAGCACCTTGGGTGGAGCAGTGTGGGGTGAAAGACAGCAACTTCAGGGGGTGGTCACCTGACATTGCAACCCATTTCCCCACCAGACAGGGTTGAGGTGGGCCGGGCTGGGGTGGTGGCTGCCTGGGAGGGCCTGGGGACGGTGAAGTCCTGTATTCTCCTCTTCTCCCATATTAGGTCATGGGAAAGCATAGCTGGAGGGCCCGCCCAAATCACAGGTGACGGGCCTCAGAGCAGTGGCACGCACACGCGTGGCACCCAGCACGAGGATTTGGAGAAATGAGGCAAATTCCTGATGATGGGTGGGGAGGGGGTCCCCAGCCACCTGGGAGCTGGCAGGTGGCCCGTGGTGATGAAAGCCCAGGGGAAGGGAAACAGAGGAGCCTGTTGTAATCGCTACGCCCACTTGGTGGCCTATAAAGGAAGCCTGTGAACCCCGGCAGCCCTACACTACTTGGGGCCCCTCTTCTTTCCAGCCCTTCTCCTGTGTGCCTGCCTCCTGCCGCCGCCACCATGACCACCTCCATCCGCCAGTTCACCTCCTCCAGCTCCATCAAGGGCTCCTCTGGCCTGGGGGGCGGCTCGTCCCGCACCTCCTGCCAGCTGTCTGGCGGCCTGGGTGCCGGCTCCTGCAGGCCGGGATCTGCTGGTGGCCTGGGCAGCGCCCTCGGGGGTAGCAGCTACTCCAGCTGCTACAGCTTTGGCTCTGGCGGTGGCTATGGCAGCAGCAGCTTTGAGGGCGTTGATGGGCTGCTGGTCGGAGGTGAGAAGGCCACCATGCAGAACCTCAATGACCGCCTGGCCTCCTACCTGGACAAGGTGCGTGCCCTGGAGGAGGCCGACACTGAGCTGGAGGTAAAGATCCGTGACTGGTACCAGAGGCAGGCCCCGGGGCCCGCCCGTGACTACAGCCAGTACTACAGGATAATCGAGGAGCTGCAGAACAAGGTAGGGCCTGCTGGTGGGAGGGGTCTCCGGGGGGCATGACTTTTTCCCCCCAACTCCTGCCCTGGCCAAAGGCCTGGAGTCCAGCCATAGGGTCTCAGGGAGCCAAGGGTGGTTTGGCTGTGGCTTAGCTTCTGGGAACCTGCCTTGGGGCCCCTGTGTGGCCCACATCCCCCTTTTCTGGGGGCAGTAGGCTGAGTCAGGAACAAACAGGCCTCGTGGAGCCCCTTGGAGACTCAGTTTCTCCCTCGTGGAGCTCCTCCACCTGGAGAGGTTGTAGGATGAGGCAGGAGGATGCAGATGGAGGGCTGGGCCCATGGGCCACTGGATGCGTGGTGTCTTGCTCCTTTGGAGCAGGGGTCAGCAGGAAGGGGTTTTGGGAGGTGTGGAGTGGGGGTGTCTGAGTGAGCTCCCGATAGCACCTGCTGCGGGTGGGAGGCAGAAAGGAGGGGGTGGGACCTCAGGGTGGGGAAGGCCTCTGATGTGCCTTATTTGGGGATTTTTCTGGCTTCTCCTTTCCTCCTGCTGTCCCTTAAGACAGGCTCAGCAAACCGCAGGGGGCGGGGCTGCTGGCTGGAGCCCAGGGTTAGGGATTAGGAAGGGTCCTGACTTCTGATTTGGGACCACTCTTTGGTGAGGGCTCCTTTAGCCTCCTTTTGGGGGAGCCTGTCAGGGGCACCCTCTAGCTGACTGTAAAACGAGGGGGTTGCCCACATCCCCTCCCTTGTTCTAGAATTCTGGGACAGTTTCTGCCCTGGGGACATTTTCCCTTTCTTTTCTGGTTGCCTCATACTCCCAGCCAGCTGTCTCTTCTCCTTTAAGGCTGAGCCTGGCATGGGGGTCTGGTGGGGTACTGAGTAGCGGGGGAAGAAGAGGCACCTTTGAGCCCTTCAGACTCCTGCTTGCCCCTCCTCTGCCAATAATACAGCACGGGGCAAGGGAGGGGCTGGGCGGGAAGAGAGGCCCCCAGGCAGGAAGATCTGTTCAGAACTCTGGTGTGGGCTCAGCCACCCCCATCCGATGACCTGACTACTCTCCCATCTCCGCTGATCCTCACAGCCACCGTGGACAATGCCAACATCCTGCTACAGAATGACAATGCCCATCTGGCTGCTGCTGACTTCCGCACCAAGTGAGTCCTAGCTGTGGGCTTGGGCAGCCTGGGTCAGCTGGGGGAGGATCTCAGGGTACCCCTCCTGACCCCAGGACTCCTTGGTTGCTTGTGGCAAGGCCCAGGAGCTCAGGGTGGGGCAATCCTAGGAGCCCCACTACTTAGTCCAGGATGCAGTGAAGGCAGCCAGTTCTGAAGGTTGCTGGGCTTAGGCAGGGAATAGAAGAGAGGGAGGGGAGGCAGGAGGCAGAGAGAAGTAAGGAAGCTGGTGGGCGTAGGATCTGGCCCTGTGATGGTCCCAAGGCCCCGGGGCTGGAATTCGTTTCCACTCGACCCTCTCATCAGCCCTTCCAACCCCTTAGAGTCCTGGCAAAATGAAGGCAGGTGAGCAGCCAGGACCTGGACCTGCAATTCCAAGCAGCCTGGGCTGAAGTCCCTGATTCCCATGGCAGGTTTGAGACAGAGCAGGCCCTGTGCCTGAGTGTGGAGGCCGACATCAATGGCCCGTGCAGGGTGCTGGATGAGCTGACCCTGGCCAGAGCCGACCCGGAGATGCACATTGAGAACCTCAAGGAGGAGCTGGCCTACCTGAAGAAGAACCACGAGGTGAGGTGGCTGGGGCAGAAGGTCAAAGATGCTGAGGAGTGGGTGGCAGAGCCCTGGGGCTGGGCCATGGCTGAGGCCGTGCGAGAGAGCACAGCAGGCGCACTGGGATTAGTCACCTTAGAGGGCTTCCCTGTCTGCGGAGCCCTGATCCTTGGGGTCCAGCGTGCAGGGCAGACTCCTCTTTGTACCACACTGCTTCTCTGTACCCAAGGAACCTCCCAGGGGCCCGCAGAGGCTCCCTCTACCTGCCCTGGCCTCCCTGATGAGGGCAGGGGATAAGTAAGGAAGTCTCCTTCTTGTCCCATTTCAAACTCTCAAAGCTGAACATCTACACAGAAGCTTGGAAATTAGAGGGGAAATTTTTGGGGCATAGGCCTAATAATTAGATTTTATTTTGGAGAGCCCTTGGTCTAATGGGGGAGATAGAGTCTGATGGTGGAGGCAATACTGAGCAGATGAATAAAAATCATTTAGAGGGTCAGATAGAGCAGAGGAAGAACAAAGGAGGGGTCCTTGTGGGGAATGGGGTCACCTCGTGGGGGAAGGCTTGGGAGTGAGAGATCAGGATGGGTCCAGATGCGCACATCCACATCCCCTTTTTCCATAGGAGATGAACGCCCCGCGAGGCCAGGTGGGCGGTGAGATCAATGTGGAGATGGGCGCTGCCCCAGGTGTGGACCTGAGCCGCATCCTGAACGAGATGCGTGAGCAGTATGAGAAGATGGCAGAGAAGAACCGCAAGGATGCCGAGGATTGGTTCTTCAGCAAGGTGGGAGCTGCTGCAGGCCAGAGGTCTCTCTTCGGGGCTGGGGCTCAGGGGCCTTAGCACTGACAGTAGGCCCACGGACAGGTGTCTTGGAGATGCTCCCTCCTCAGCAAGCTGCATGGACCACAGGGTCACCCACTGCATCAACAGACCTGGAGCTGAGCTCAAGCTGGGATCTGGGGGGTGAGTGGGGAGCTAGGGAGCCCCCACAGAATAAAGGCAGAGGGTAAAGACCTTGGGAGTCCCCACCTCTCTCTCAAGAAGTCAGAAACTAGCACCAAGAGCCAGGCTACATGTTCTGGCTGGTTCTCAAGTTTCCGGTCTGTGCCTCCCACACGCAGGGATTAACCATAAAAAGTTAACATTTCAAATGGCATGTTTCTGGGCTTTGGGACGTGGGAAGCTGGTGAGAAGGCATCACTCTGTCCACAGTTAGATTTGGGAGGAGGCCTGACTGAGGAGAGGGATCCAGGCTCACACCACCCTGTCCTGTGTTCTGTCTGCAGACAGAGGAGCTGAACCGCGAGGTGGCTACCAACAGTGAGCTGGTCCAGAGCGGCAAGAGCGAGATTTCGGAGCTCCGGTGCACCATGCAGGCCTTGGAGATCGAGCTGCAGTCCCAGCTCAGCATGGTAGGAACAGTCCTGTGCATGGGGATGGGCCCAGAAGAGGACACTGACAACCCTCACTGACCCCTGGTCTTCCTGCCCTCCTGCAGAAAGCATCCCTGGAGGGCAACCTGGCGGAGACAGAGAACCGCTACTGCATGCAGCTGTCCCAGATCCAGGGACTGATCGGCAGTGTGGAGGAGCGGCTGGCCCAGCTTCTCTGCGAGATGGAGCAGCAGAACCAGGAGTACAAGATCCTCCTGGACATGAAGATGCGGCTGGAGCTGGAGATCACCACCTACCACCGCCTGCTGGAGGGCGAGGATGCCCAGTGAGTGGGGGAGCCTGGGGTCAGGGCTGGGGGCCTCTTGGCAGGGGTGGGGCTCTCAGACTCACATCTAATTTCCTCTCTGTTTTTTTTTTCTTTCAGCCTGACTCAGTACAAGAAAGAACATAAGCATCTTGGTGGCTGAGGCCTTGGGGATTGGGTGCATGGGACAGGCAGCCCACCTGCACGTTGCTGGAGCTGGGTCCCCAGGAGTTCTAGGAGTTGATGGCTGTCCCTCAGCAGGGGTGGGAGAAGTGACCCGTTAGCACTGAGGATTGATACTCAGGAAAAGATCAAATGAGAGAGATGCTGTCTGGTCTGATGGGGTGGGCCAGGGAACTGGTCCTTACCTTGGAGATCCTAGTCTGATGGAGGAGACAGGTCCCACCTCTGGAGATTGTCATCTGATGGGAAGATAGGAACATGGTCTCATGATCTATGCTCTTGACAGCTTTTGGATGAGCGAAAGCAGTCCTGTCTCTGGGGACTCTAGCCTGATGGGAAATAGGGACATGCTCCTTGTCCTCCAAATTCCAGTCTGATGGAGAAGATATGATGCTAGCCCCAGGGTTCCTAGTCTAATGGAGGAGATAGGGGCCTGGTTTTTGTCTTGGCGATCCCAGTCTGATGGGGGAGATGGGAGCAAATCTATGCCCTGGAGACTGCAGAGAAATGGAGATGGATTTCATGGAGTCTACATGGCTCCTCCCTGGCAGGACACACTGGGTCAGAATCAAATAACCCATCTGCGGAGGCAAGACTCACACAGGGCCACCGGCAGAGGGATGGGATGGAAGGGAGGCGGTGGCAGGGACAGGAGGGATGTGTGTGCAGTGTGATGTTGAGGTGCCAGTGGAGGCACTCACAGCACCTGGGGGAGGACGAGGGAGAGAGCCGGCTCCTGTCCATGAGGGCTAGGGGGCAAGCGAGGGCCTCCTGGCCCCTACCCACTTTAAATTGCCTGCTTCTCCTGCAGCGGTGACCACCTGTCAGGTGCCTACCATTGTGGAAGAGGTCCAGGATGGTAAGGTCATCTCCTCCCGCGAGCAGGTCCGCCAGACCACCCGCTGAGGACTCAGCTTTCCCGGCCGGCCCCCCAGGAGGCAGGGAGGCAGCGGTCCCATCTGCCCCGCGGTCTCCGGCCTCTCCACCCTCAGCCCCCTGCTTCAGTCCCTTCGCCATGCTTCCCTGCGTGATGACAATAAAGCTCGTTGACTCAGCTATGAAATGTGTCCTTGTTCTGGCCGCTGAAGTGGGCACTGGGGACAAAAGGGTGAAATGGGAAGGAGTGAGGGTGGGGGGAGATGGTGCGTGGAGACCCCGTTGTTGACTGGCAGGTCAGAGGTCAGCTTAGACCAGCATAAAGAGTAAGTCTGGGGAGAGTTTGGAGGGGGGTGCTCGCATCTCCCAAGGGCTGGAGATTTTCAGGGGGTGGTCCAGGCTGCGCTAGACCCGGGGTGGAGGCGGTGTATCAGGTGTGGTCCTAGGTCGCCACTGCTTGCCCTGTGAGTAACTCTGTGACCTCGGGAAGTTAGGCAGTCACTTCCCCTGACTGAGCCTTGCTTTTCCATCCGTAAATGGATGGGAAGATCTCAGGTGTGGGAGCCCGAATCCTCAGAGATGACTCACTCAATCAGTTGCTCCTTCCTGTCCTGTGGGCTGTGCCCTCCCCCTAGATGGGGCAGGAGGTGGGCAAGGGCTGGGATAAGCACAAAGGGAGGGTGGGTGGGGGAGGCAGGCTGGGTGATTGGGGCCCCGACTCCTGTGTGAGTCTCAGGAAATCCCCAAGAGGGGCTCCCATTGCCTCTGCCCTGGGAATGTGAGCGGGAGGGTGGTGTTTTCAGGGAAGGCTGCGGACCCCAGGCAGGTATGGGAGAAAGGGTGGGGCCTCTCTCAAGGATGTTTCCTCACATGGTCAGCTGTTGCTCAGGATGCGGACAGGGCAGAGTGGGGGGCACTGCAGATGGGGTGGCTGTGCCCAGGGAGCAGTGCCACTCTCCCTGGCGGTCTGGATCCTCTTTGGTTCCCCACTAGGGACAGGGGTGGTGTGAGGGAGGGTAGAAACTGCCTCCTAGGAAAATGAGAAGGAACAGTCCTGCTCCAGCCACTCCCGGCACCCTCTATGAGCTGACCAACGCCAGCTCTTGCTGGTGGCAGCAAACGTGGCTGTGGGGAGCAGTCTGTGGGAGGTGAGCCTGACACCTGGAAATCTTCCTTGTAGTAAATCTGGAAACTGCCAGGTGGGTTGGCCTGCTTTCCTGGTTTTCTTCAAGCAGGGGGTTAGTGGGAGGAGGGTGCCTCCACGTCCTCACTGCTGGACCTGTGGTGTCTCTGCTGCTGCGGAATCAGACCAAGGCCCCCAAACACCCTCTCTCTCCTGGTGCCTGGAGGCTGGGGGTGGGGCCCAGGTCCGAGGAGAATGGGAGTGACCAGAGCCCTCTGAGCCTGGGTTGGTGGGGGTTTGGGACTGGCAGAGGCCAGGGATGGGGGTGGGTACTGACCACTGGGGTATGGGTGACTTTGGGCTGGTCACAAGCCCTCCCTGGACCTTGGAGCTATGACATCCCGGGAGAGTGTTTCTCTCTGCAGGGTAGATGGCTGCCTGGAGTCGGGGACTTGCACCTGCAGCGGCATCTGCACGACTCAAAGCAAGGGCAAGCTCTGCTCCGTTGGAGGCTGACGTCTCCCTGCTCTCTGGCAGCAAATGTGGGGCCATGGAGGGCAGGAGGGAGGCACTGTTTGCACCAGGCCCCCACCATACACCCCGCCACAACCAGAAGAACAGCCCTGGGCTGCAGATGGCTCATTCTGGAGGGTGACTTCATTTGTCTGAATAGTCCCCGGAAGCAGGGAGGGTCTAGGGGAAGGCGCCTTGTTGTGTGGATGGGGACACTGAGGCTCCAAGGAGCAGTGACTCAGCCCTTGTCCCACAGCCTGAGGGGTCAGTAGTGGAGACGGGCACGGGAGGGGAGTGGGCCCCGCTTCCGTGCTGGGAAGAGGAGCCAAGCCCCAGCTCCTCCCCCACCTCAGGCTCCAGGCAGGGCTATCTCTCCCTCCTGTAGAGCCTGGGGTCCACAATTACTGATGGCGTGAGTGAGGAGGGGTCAGAGTGTGGGAAGGACCAGAGACAGCCCCAGACTGTGCCCCTCTGCTGGGGAAGAAGCCCTTCTCCACAAAGTGAGTGGGTGGGAGGCTCAGGAGGCCAGAATGGGGGAGCCCCCCGGTGTGCCCAGAGAGCTGAGCCAGTAGAGGCAGTGGTTGCCAGGGGCTGGTGGGGAGACTTGAGTGACTTTGTCCAAGGACCCCAAGTGGGCCCAGGATGCTGGGGACATGTGCCTGGGCTGGATTGGGGACCCAGCTATGGGACTCAAGGAGGGACTCACAGTTCGTCCACACACTCCCTGCCCACTGCACAGAATGTCCTCAAGGCAGAAGCTGCGGATATGTGGTTACCCTGTAGAGCTGCCACACCTGGTCTCGTGTGATGGACACACATATAAGACTCTCAGGCCAGACCCATGCCAGTGGTAGCTGCCTCCGGACCCCCCTTGCAGGGGTTGACCTGGCAGCATGTCTTCTACGGAGACGGATGTGGTGGGGGACACTCATCCATGGCATGACATCGCTCTGCGTCTGGTTTGCACTGAGTCCAGGGAAAGGAGGAGACACCGGTCCTGACCCCAAGAGACAGTGCCTGCCCCAAGGGGACCTGAGGGACTGACAACAGTCCCTCAGCCCTTATGCAGTGTGGGTCTATTGTGGCAACCAAGGTTTTGGGGAGATGAGGGGAACAGAGGGAGCAGAGCCAGGCAGGTCTCCCCACATGCACAGAGCCGAGGGGATAACTGAGCTTGACAGAGACCCGTCCTCACCCTGAGCTGTAGTGACCATTTGAAGAAACATCCCTGAGAGAGGCCCACTCTTTCTCCCACAACCCCTGGGGTCTGCAGCCTTCCCTGGAGGCACCAGCTTCCCGCTCACACTCCTGGGGTGGGGGCAATGGGAGCCCCTCTTGGGGGTTTCCTGAGACTCATACAGGAGTCCGGGCCCCTTGTTTGTGCAGAACAGGCACCCCAAGTGGGTCCAGGCTGCTGAGGACATGTGCCTGGGCTGGACTGGGGACCCAGCTATGGGACTCATGGAAGGACTCACAGTTCGTCCACAGCCACCCTGCCCACTGCACAGAATGTTTCACCCCATCATCAAGGCAGAAGCTGCAGATCTGTGGTTGGATTGTGAAGGGCTATGACAGCCCCACCTTCAGAAGGGGGGCGTCAAACTTGCAGGAGGGGAGAGGACCCCCGAAGGTGGGCCTGGCACTCACAGATTTCCCCAGATCCCTGGAGCCGTCACAGGGGCAGAGCCTGGGCCTGGACATTCGTTCTCCCCCAGGAACCCTGCTCCCTCTGTTTCTCTGCAGGGCCCCAGCACCCCATCGTGGCCTGACTTTAGTGTATTGGGATTGTCTTTACCACCTTCTCCCCCAGAAGACTATGTCTCCAGGGCTTCTCTGTCTTGTTCTTTGAGTCTGAGTGCCCAGCACAGTGTCAGGCACACAGTAGGTGCTTTATAAACACCTGCTCATAAACATAACGCTAGCCACCAGCCTTTGCCAGGTGCTTTATTTATTTGGCCTCAAATCCCCTAATATGCCTGTGACGCAGGGCTGTTATTCCCATTTCCCAGACAAGGAAACTGAGGCTCAGAGAGGCTGAATATCCTGCCCAAGGTTTTGCCCCTGCTTGCCCCGATTCCAGGCTGCTCTGTCCTGGCTCAGTGGGGCTCTACTTTTCCTTCCTCCTGCCCTGAAGCCTGTGGCTCTGGCTTGTCCACCCAGGGCTGGGGGCCCTGCAGCAGCCCCCTCTCTCCCCTCAGCTTCTCTGCCCCCCTCCTCAGCCCCCTAAGCTGCCTCCTGCCTTCCCAGTCTGAGTTGGCTGGGGAGCTTGTAAAACAGCCCCACCAGCAGGCTTGTCCTGAGTGGTGCTGATGCAGGAGTTGGAGCAGGGCTGCGAATCTTCTTGGGGACTCTGATGATCTGTCTGGTTGGAGAATCACTGCAAGCCAAGGCGTGGCATTGGCCAATGGTGATTCCCGGCCTCCTCAGGTATGCTATGATCTCCGCCTCATGCTTGACATGGGCAGGACGAAGGAGGGAGGAAGGAGGCAGGGTGCGGGGAGGAATCCTCTGCCTGGAGGATGCCCACTGGGCTTCTCTATGCTCACCAGGCTTAGAGGTCCTGGCTCTTGGCCACCTTGGGGCAAGTGTGCATCACTGATGCAGAGGAAACGCCTCCTCCTCTTCTGTCAACTCAGATCCTCTGAGGCCCTGCTGGTGCCTCCCTCTGCTGGGACCCTTTCAGGGATCAAGGCCAGGAGGGCAGCCCCCTCCTCTACTGCTGAGGCTCAGCGGGGTAATGCTTACCCCAGCTGCCTCCGGTGGTGTGGGCGTGGCAGGCAAGCCCAGCACCCTAGGGTTTCTAGCCAGGTTCTGCATTTTCCAGCGTTAGTTTTCCCTCCAGGGTCAAATGATAAGTTCTTCTAAGGTCAGAGACTACGTCATCATTTCCCTCTTCACCCCCAGCCCCCGAGAGCTGTGCACACAGCAGCTGCGTGATCTATGGAGTTGGCTGAGCAGTTTGGCGCGTTGGTCAGCAACTTCCTGCAGCTTCTCAGCCCACGCAGATCCTCAGGTCTGCAGTGCTGGGCTTGTGTATAATCCCACCCTGACACCTCCTGGAATGGGGAACTTGGCGGGGGGCAGTGAGCCAATGAGAAAGGGGTGTGTGTGCACGCACACACGGTGGGGGCAGAGAGTGAAGAGTTCTCGGAGACTCCACTGTGAGAGTCGGTGTGAATCCTGGCTTGGGAGTTGGAGCTGGCTCCGGTCTGTGCTCTCTCACTTTTGTGCTGCTTAACCTGGATAAGGCTTTCGCCCTCTCCGGTTGGGGTATTGATAGCCTTTGGTGACCTTGAAGACCATTTTCAGTTCTGAGGGTGATGGGTCTGTGGTTGGACTGGAACTCCAGGCCCACCCTGACACCTGAACGCTGAGGTTTTTGTCCAAGATTCCGGGGTCCCCTTTGTCCCTCTTTGGGGTGGGGGTGGGTGTGGGGAAGAGAGAGATCAGTGTCTCTTTCTATACGGACTGTGTCTATATAGAAAGAAGTAGACATGAGAGACTCCATTTTGTTCTGTACTAAGAAAAATTCTTCTGCCTTGAGATGCTGTTAATCTGTAACCCTACCCCAACCCTGTGCTCGCAGAAACATGCCCTGTGTCGACTCAAGGTTTAATGGATTTAGGGCTATGCAGGATGTGCTTTGTTAAACAAATGCTTGAAGGCAGCTAGCTTGTTAAAAGTCATCACCACTCCCTAATCTCAAGTACCCAGGGACACAAAACACTGCGGAAGGAAGGCCGCAGGGACCTCTGCCTAGGAAAGCCAGGTTTCTCCCCATGTGATAGTCTGAAATATGGCCTCATGGGAAGGGAAAAGACCTGACCGTCCCCCAGCCCGACACCCGTAAAGGGTCTGTGCTGAGGAGGATTAGTAAAAGAGGAAGGCCTCTTTGCAGTTGAGATAAGAGGAAGGCGTCTGTCTCCTGCTCATCCCTGAGCAATGGAATGTCTCGGTGTAAAACCCGATTGTATATTCCATCTACTGAGATAGGAGAAAACCGCCTTAGGGCTGGAGGTGAGACATGCTGGCGGTAACACTGCTTTTTAATGCACCGAGATGTTTATGTATGTGCACATCAAAGCACAGCACCTTTTCCTTAACATTGTTTATGACACAGAGACATTTGTTCACATTTTCCTGCTGGCCCTCTCCCCACTATTACCCTATTGTCCTGCCACATCCCCCTCTGGGAGATGGTAGAGATGGTAGAGATAATGATCAATAAATACTGAGGGAACTCGGAGACTGGGGCCAGCGTGGGTCCTCTGTATGCTGAGCGCCAGTCCCCTGGGCCCATTTTTCTTTCTCTGTACTTTGTCTCTGTGTCTCTTTCTTTTCTCAGTCTCTCATCCCACCCCACGAGAAACACCCACAGGTGTGGAGGGGCAGGCCACCCCTTCAGGTGGGGAGTGTCGGGTTCCCTCTCCCAGGTTTGGCTCTGAAGGCATGTGCATCCATTCTGCTCTTACCTCTGATCCCAGAGTGACCAGGGGAGATGTAGCAGCAACAAAACCCTGGTTCTGCTGAGACAAGGAATTGCCTGCCCCAGTGGAGCCCAGGCAGAGGCAGGCTGTCTCTGGGCTCCTCACCTCAACAGAGGCACTGCAGAGCAAGGCCAGTGGCCAGCACCAAGGGATGCCCCACGGCACCCTGAGGAGGCCCCGTCTTGGTGCCCAGATCCCTCCTCCTCCCTCCAGTCCTCGGTGCTGCACCAGCCTCTCAGGCCAAGGCCACGCCCACCCTGGGCAGACCTCATGCCAGTGATCGTGGGGAGGTGGGTGAGAGTTGGGTATACTGGCCCCGCCTGCAGGCATGGTGGGAGCCTGGAGAGGGCTGAGGTCTGGGTTCTAGTTGCAGCTCTGCAGCTTAAAGCAGAGTGACTTTGAGTGAATCTCCACCTGTCTCTGGTTACCCCTCTGTCCCCTCTGATCAAGAAAATGATATAAATTTGAGATGCACAGAGAGAGGGCTCAGGATGACAGAACAGGCTTAGGCAAGGAGAACAGGCAGGCAGGTTCACATCTCAGCTTCCAGTGCCTGGTGTCTTGGGAAGCCCACTTATCCTCCCTGAATCCCAGCTCCCTCACCTGAGGACTGGTGGCAGGAATAACGCCCCCGTCATCCCTGCTCACAGAACCGTACAACACACACCAGGCTCTCCATGCGTGCCTGAGTGGGCCCATGACCGGTGCTCTCCCCCAGCTCAGCTGGATGAATGGAGCTGCCAGGCCCAGCGTGGGATCTGTGGACACAGGAGAGAGAACTGCTGGGAACGGATCCCCAGCCAGTCCTGTTTCTACAGGGTAGGGGGGAACTCTGAGGCCCACGGCGGGGTCAGGGGTCACACTTGGCTGCAGTGGCAGGACGGGGCTCCCTCCCACCGGCCTGCAGGTGGGGTGCCTGTGATTAGGAGAGGGCGGTAGAGGAGTGGAGGAGCTAGGTGTGGGGCTGTGGTGTTCTTCTGCTGGGAGTGTGGGGGACGCAGGGCCCCGCGTAGCGGTTCGGGAGGGTGCCAGTGTGTAGAGGTGAGTGTGAGGAGCAGGTGGCTGGAGGGGGAGGATGAGGAGGATGAGGGGCAGGGCTGGCCCTTGGGGAAGGGCCAGTGGGGCGCTTCGCACATGTTTCTTTGTGGCTAGTGGTGTGTCATCCCCTTTTACAGATGAGAAAACTGAGGACCAAGGGGCTGTAAGACCAGCCTGTGCTGTACAGCTGGTAAGGGCAGAGCAGGGACTCAGTGCCGCCTGTCTGGCTCCATGGCCAGTGCTGTTTGTATGGTGCACACACTTCTGGAGATCCCGGGGGCTCAAGGCAGCCTCCGGAACTGGAATTAGATCCAAGAGGGGAAAGAGAGTCATAGGATTTTTAGAACCAGAAGGGACTCTGCAATCACCCAGTCCAGCCTGGTCACCACTGAGGGGAAACAGGCCCAGAGGTGGGAGGTGGGGAGCCTCAGGCCACACAGCAAGCAGAGTGAAGACACGAACTCTGCCCCTGCCCAGAGTGGGACATGTAGGATCCCCGCAACTGCTCCCCAAGACAGCCCAGGATGGCATCACTGAGGTCTCTTTCAGCCAAGGCTGTCACTGTGGGGCAGGGAGTTCTTCTGAAGGGCTGACTCACTGCCTGGGGACGCAGTTGCCACAAAGCCACCTGTGCCAAGGCCCCACTGGCCCCAAGGGCTCCAGGAACGGGAGCCTGATTCCCGGCCACCTAGCCTGAGTCACCACCGACTCGCATTTGTGTGTTTTTCTCTCAGCTCCACACTCTCAAAGCTGGGTGGGAACTCTGAGCCAGCACACAGCGGAGTTGATCCTGGGCTGAATAATCCAGAGTGAGGAGTTGGACGGGACTGGGAGTGATGAAATCCAGAGGGGAACCTGGAGTCAGCAGTTAGGAGGGCCCCGCCTTCCCCAGGTGCATATAAAGGTCTCTGGGGTTGGAGGCAGCCACAGCATGCTCTTAGCCTTCCTGAGCACCTTCCCTTTTTTCAGCCAACTGCTCGCTCGCTCACCTCCCTCCTTGGCACGATGAGCACCTGCAGCCACCAGTTCACCTCCTCCAGATCCATGAAGGGCTCCTGCAGCATCGGGGGCAGCATCGGGGGCGGCTCCAGCCGCATCTCCTCTGTCCTGGCCGGAGGGTCCTGCCATGCCCCCAGCACCTACGGGGGGGCCTGTGTGTCTCCTTCTCTCGCTTCTCCTTTGGGGGAGCCTGCGGGCTGGGGGGCGGCTATGGCGGTGGCTTCGGCAGCAGCAGCAGCTTTGCTAGTGGCTTTGGGGGAGGATATGGTGGTGGCCTTGGTGCTGGCTTCGGTGGTGGCTTGGGTGCTGGCTTGGGTGGTGGCTTTGCTGGTGGTGATGGGCTTCTGGTGGGCAGTGAGAAGGTGACCATGCAGCACCTCGGTGACCGCCTGGCCTCCTACCTAGACAAGGTGCGTGCTCTGGAGGAGGCCAACGCCGACCTGGAAGTGAAGATCCGTGACTGGTACCAGAGGCAGCGGCCCAGTGAGATCAAAGACTATAGTCCCTACTTCAAGACCATCGAGGACCTGAGGCACAAGGTGGGTGACTTTGGTGTATGGAGCACTGAGAGAGGCTGGGGCTATAGTGTCCCTTGGGATACCTCTTTTTAGCAATTGCACTTTACAAACAGGGAGACTGGGCACCTTTGGGGAGTAGCCAGGATCATCCAGGGAAGTGGTGGCAGAGGGTCCCTTTTCAGCATCTCTGTGCCCGGACTGGGGCTGTTACCCTGAATCTCTTATTTCCTGCAAGGGTTCAGCTGCAAGTTCCGCTTCCCTGCCTTGGGCCCAGGAAGGGGGTGATCGGGATGGAGTGCATCCCTGCATACCCTGAGCTGGTGGAGAAGGCATGCCAGCCCTGCCAGCCAGAAGACTTCCAGATTTGAGGAGGTTCCTTTTGCCCCTTTCTGCCTTTCACGCTCAAGTAGTAAGGTCCTTGCCTGACCAGGGCTCCTGTCCTCCATCCCCACTCCAGATCATTGCGGCCACCATTGAGAATGCGCAGCCCATTTTGCAGATTGACAATGCCAGGCTGGCAGCTGATGACTTCAGGACCAAGTGAGCAGCCAGCATGGTGGGCTGGGGGCAGAGGGCAAGGGACAAAGAGTGGAGCTGTCCACCCAGCAGGGCCAGCAGACCCCGAGCCTCAGAATCCTCAGGGCTGCAGCCTAAGGACCTGACCTCTGTCCTGCCAGTTAGGAGCACGAGCTGGCCCTGCGGCTGACTGTGGAGGCTGGCGTCAATGGCCTGTGCCGGGTGTTGGACGAGCTGACCCTGGCCAGGACTGACCTGGAGATGCAGATAGAAGGCCTGAAGGAGGAGCTGGCCTACCTGAGGAAGAACCACTAGGAGGTGTGGTTGCTGCTGGCTTCCGGGATGGGAGGCTGGTTTGGTGGGGTTGCCAGATGCACCCAGGGCCAGGAGAGGAGTCTGCTGAGCTGACCGCCTCCTGCCATCCCTTCCCAGGAGATGCTTGCTCTGCGAGGTCAGACCGGTGGAGAAGTGAACGTGGAGACGGATGCCGCACCTGGCGTGGACCTGAGCTGCATCCTGAATGAGATGCGCAACCAGTACGAGCAGATGGCAAAGCACAACCACAGAGATGCTGGGCCTGGTTCCTGAGCAAGGTGGGGCTTGGGCCCTCAGTGGGCCTGCAGCACTTCCCAGCTGGGGGCTTTGGGAGAGCCTCACCTTTCACTCTGCTTTCCTGTCTCAGACCAAGGAGCTGAACAAAAAAGTGGCCTCCAGCAGTGAACTGGTACAGAGCAGCCGCAGTGAGGTGACGGAGCTCCAGAGGGTGTTCCAGGGCCTGGAGATGGAGCTGCAGTCCCAGCTCAGCATAGTATGAAGGACCCGGCACAGCAGCAGCCCCCAGGTCACCAGTAATGGCCACCACCCCCTCAACAAGCCACAATTTAGTTCCACCTTTCTTTTCTCAGGATGGGACCAGAGGACTCACGGGACCTGTTATATAGATAGAGAAACTAGCCCTAGAATAGTGGGCTAGCATTTCTCTATATTGTCTGGCCCATCAGTACCCCAACTGGGATCAAAATCCAGGCACCTCTCAAAAAACATGCCCAGAGACCTGGAGGGACAGGAGTGACCACCTCCATTGACTCTTTTTCTCTCTCTCACTTGCAGAAAGCGTCCCTGGAGAACAGCCTGGAGGAAACCAAAGGCTGCCACTGCATGCAGCTGTCCCAGATCCAGGGACTGATTGGCAGTGTGGAGGAGCAGCTGGCCCAGCTATGCTGTGAGATGGAGCAGCAGAGCCGGGAGTACCAGATCTTGCTGGACATGAAGACACGGCTGGAGCAGGAGATCGCCACCTACCGCCACCTGCTGGAGGGCGAGGACGCCCAGTGAGTCCCAGGCCCCTCAGTTCTGCCTCCCAGACCCTTTAGCCCCCCTGCTGCTCTCAGCACAACTGACTGCCCTGCCTTTTCTCACCCACAGCCTTTCCTCCCCACACGCATCTGGCCAATCCTGTTCTTCCCGAGTGGGTAAGGCTCCTGAGGCTCCCCGGCACTGCAACCCCTCTGCCTGTTTCCATGGAGTGGGGGCCAGGCCCTTCTCCTGAGAGCTCCCAGCTCTCCCTTCTCCCTGCCCTGGAGTTGGCTTAGCTCTCAGACCCCTTCTCACCTCCTCTTCTCTCTCCCACAGTCTTCACCTCCTCTTCGTCCTCTTCGAGCCGTCAGACCTGGCCCATCCTCAAGGAGCAGGGCTCATCCAGCTTCAGCCAGGGCCAGTGCTCCTAGAACTGAGCTGCCTCTACCACAGCCTCCTGCCCACCAGCTGGCCTCACCTCCTGAAGGCCTGGGTCAGGACCCTGCTCTCCCAGCGCAGTTCCCAGCTGTCTCCCTGCTCCTCTACTGGTGATGGGCTAATAAAGCTGACTTTCTGGTTGATGCAAACCTGTGTGATCTCTGTTCTTGAACTGATGGGAGGGGAGTTGCAGGTGCTTTCCAGAAACCTCCTGGAGCCTCACAGCCTGAGAGATGTGGGAAATGGGACAAATCTCAGAAGATCTTGAAGGCTCTTCCTGGAAGACCTCCATGCTCTATGGAAGTGGGAGGTGGGACACAGGATGGGGGAGTGTCCACACGTGCTGACTGACACCATGGAGGCATTCTACAGAGGTTATTTTACGAGGTTGCCCTTGCAACCCTGTGAGGTGGGTGTGGTCAGGCCCATTTTGGAATTTGACAACCCCCAGAATTCAGAGTTTCAGTAACTTGCGTAAAATCATGCAGATAGTAAGTGGCACGGCTGGAGCTCAAACTCAGTTCTGTCTGTCTGCAAAGTCCATGCCTTTCTTTTAACACCACTCTACCTTTTCAGGTATTTTAACCCGAAGACTCCCACGCTTGAATCTTAACTCTACCCATGGGCTCCCCCACATCTGCACACAGTTTCTACATTGGAGGGTGGAAGGGAGTGGTATCTGCCTTGAGAACGATGTCCTCGTCAGACCTGAAATCCTCCTTCTCCCAGCCTGCTTCTCCTCACACCCCATCAACTCCTCCTTCCTCATTCCCCTCAGCTGGTGAATTGCGTGCTGATGAGCACCCTAGGAAACACCTGCTGCCCCATGGCCATTGCCATGTTCAGATCTTCTTCCTCTCTCCCTAGACCTGGGCACAGCCTAACTGGGTCCCCTTGAGAGTCAATCTCATCCACATTCAATTTCCACTGAATGATTTCCACCAGAATGTGGTCAGGATCAAGAACAAGGGTGAGATCAGGACTCCCCTGCTTAACAGCCGGCGATGGATCCCATTCCCCTCCAGCACTCAGCCTTCAGTCTCAACCCAGCTTGGTGTCCTCCTGTCCCTCCCAGCTCCAAACCCCCGAGTCACCCCTACCTGACTGAGATATGACCCATACCTCTCAGTTGCCATTCCTTCTTCCTGGATGCCTTCCATATTTTAAATATTTAAATTTAAAAAAGTTATGTATGTATAACATCATAAGCCTTTTTTTTTTTTGAGACAGAGTCTTGCTGTGTCGCCCAGGCTGGAGTGCAGTGGTGCGATCTCAGTTCACTGCAAGCTCCACCTCCCAGGTTCACACCATTCTCCTGCCTCAGCCTCCCAAGTAGCTGGGACTACAGTCACCCACCACCATGCCCGGCTAATTTTCTTTTGTATTTTTAGTAGAGACAGGGTTTCACCGTATTAGCCAGGATGGTCTCGATCTTCTGACCTCGTGATCTGCCTGTCTTGGCCTCCCAAAGTGCTGGGATTATAGGCGTGAGCCATGGCACCCGGCCAAGACTTTTTTTTTTATTATTATGCTTTAAGTTATAGGGTACACATGCACAACATGCATGTTTGTTACATAGGTATACATGTGCCATGTTGGTTTGCTGCACCCATCAACTCATCATTTACATTAAGTATTTCTCCAAATGCTATCCCTCCCACAGTCTCCCACCCCCTGACAGGCCCCGATGTGTGATGTTCCCCGCCCTGTGCCCATGTGTTCTCATTGTTCAACTCCCACCTATGAGTGAGAACATGTGGTGTTTGGTTTTCTGTCCTTGTGATAGTTTGCTTAGAATGATGGTTTCCAGCTTCATCCATGTCCCTGCAAGGGACATGAACTCATCCTTTTTTATGGTTGCATAGTATTCCAAGGTGCACATGTGCCACATTTTCTTAATCCAGTCTATCATTGATGGACATTTGGGTTGGTTCCAAGTCTTTGCTATTGTGAATAAGACTTTTTTTTTTTTAATGAAAAAGCCATCCCTAGACTGGATACCACAGCTCTGTTCCTGCCTCCCCTTTTCAACTTCAGCTGTTTCTTTTGGGATTTGTCTCCTTACTTCTAAATAACAGGCTTTACCTTGTTACTGTTTGGTTTTTCTGTTTCAGTTTTTAATTGCTTGACTTCTGGCTGTGAAGGATGAGGATGTAGATCTGTTATACAGCATTGCCCTTCCCCACTTCTTTTTAAAATATCTTCTTCCCACCTTCTCAATATATTCATATTTTTGTTAAATAAATGTTTACATTATCATGACTATTTAAATGTTATTCATAGTCAAATCATATATTATACTATATTACATTTTATACTATATTAAATTTCCTTGGAATAAATATCTCTTTTTCAATTTGCCTAAACTTTCTATGTATTGATGATTAATTTGTTTCCTGATTCACTGCTGGAAGCATAAATCTCCTCAGTATTTTAGAACCCTGGGTGTTCCTTCAATTTCATCCTCATGAAGATGTGTCTCCTAGGGCCTTCTGTCCTGCTCTTGTCTGTTCTGGGTGCTGTTTGGGTCTCCTGCTCAGCTGTGATCCTGGAATCTCTCTTCACCATCATCCTGAAATCCTTCTTTTTCCTGTGTTGCTTTCCTTGTTTTCTGGATCCAATGTCTTCCTCCTTCCTGTTTTCATTTTTCCCTTTGTTTTAGTGAAGCACATCCTCAAGTAGTTTCCTGGGAAGGGAGTTATCAGGGTTAAATTTTTTTAGACCGTTTGTGTCAAAAAGATCTTTAGTTGATCCTCACTCTTGACTGATAGTTTGGCTGGGTATGGAATTCTAGCTTGGAAACCATTTGCACTCAGCATTTGAAGGTACAGTTTCAGTGTTTCTTGGATTCTGGTGTTGCTGTTGAGAAGTCTTATGCCATATTGATTCTAGATCACGTCTTATTATCCTATTCCCACACTCTTCCCTAGAAGCTTTTCAGTTCTTCTCTTTCTCTCCAGCAGGCTGAAATACCATGTGTTGAATTGATGCAGCTGTGACTTCATCCACTGGCTGGACACTAGCAGAAACTTCCAATGTGGGAGCTCATGTTGTTCAATTCTGGCAAATTTTCGTGTTTCATGATTTCCTCCCTCCATTTTCTCTCTTTCTGAAATGGCTCTTTTTCCTATGTATTCTGTTTTATTTTCCGTCTTGTCTTTTTTTCTTTGTTGCTGTTTTCTGAGAAATTTCTTTAACTTTGACCTCTAACTCCATTATTCAGAGTTTTAAAAAATCTGCTGTATTTGGCCGGGCACAGCATCTCATGCCTGTAATCCCAGCACTTTGGGAGGCCAAGGTGGGTGGATTGCTTGAGCCCAGGAGTTCAAGACCAGCCTGGGCAACATGGTAAGACCCTGTCTCTACAAAATATATAAAAATTAGCTGGATGTGGTGGCCTAGGCCTGTAGTCCCAGCTGCTAGGGAGGCTGAGGTGGGACGATCACTTGAGCCTGGGAAGTCAAGGCTGCAGTGAGCTGAGATCACACCATCACATTCTAGCCTGGGCAACAGAGTGAGATCCTGTCTTAAAAACAACAATAATCTTTTATATTTTTCATCTCTCATAGCTCTGCATGTTTTTTCAACAGTCTCTTGTTCTTGTTTCAAGATGCAATGGTTTCTCTGATCTCTTTGAGCCTATTAGTCCTGGCTCCAGCAGTGCTTCTATTTCTGTCATCAGCTCAGTTTCCTCAGTTTCTTTCTTGCTGTTTGTCTTGCCTCCATCTTTCATGCCAGAGGCTTTTCTCAGATGTATGGTGGTCCTTGGTAGTCGTTCATATTTAAGAGTAAGTCACTGAGAAACTGATTGGAATATGTGTATATGTGTATGGATAGCATGGGAGCTTGCCACTGGTAGGTCTCAGTATAGAGTAATCTGGTGGAGAATAAGCTGTTTCGTTGGGGGACAGTTATCTGTAGGACTTTTCTTGGGGAGGGTCTTCCTCAGAAGGAATACCTCTAATTCCCTGTCTGGATTGTAAAAGCTACCAGCTTTCTGGAAGCTGAGTGCAGGAAGGGGGCAGAGAAGGTCTCAGTCTCAGCTACTCTGCTACTAGTTGATTGCAGTTTATTGGCCCTGCTTGGTGTCTCAGGATTCAGAGTCCCTCTGGGGAAATTCTCAAGCATAAACATCTAGTTTCTCCTGGAGTAATCGTGGAGTGGTTGGGTTCAGACAAGGAAGGGAGAGAGGAGCTATAGGGGCCTCTCTGCTTTTTTTTTTTCTTTTCCCGAGATGGTGTCTCACTCTGTTGCCCAGGCTGGAGTGCAGTAGCACCATCTCGGCTCACTGCAAGCTCTGTCTCCCGGGTTCACACCATTCTCCTGCCTCAGCCTCCCGAATAGCTGGGACTACAGGCGCCCGCCACCACGCCTGGCTAATTTTTTTGTATTTTTAGCAGAGACGGGGTTTCACCGTGTTAGCCAAGACGGTCTCGATCTCCTGACCTCATGATCCACCCGCCTCGGTCTCCCAAAGTGCTGGGATTACAGGCATGAGCCACCGTGCCCGGCCACCTCTCTGCTTTTTATATAGATCTCTAGCTCACCCTACTATTTCTAGTTCACTTGTTCCTCACTGTCAGAGGTACCTGGTGCCCCCTATTCCAGAGACTTTCCAGAGTTCTTAAAAATTCAGAGTTAAAAAGTTCCAGAGTGTAAATATGCTTTGCCTCTTGGCTTCTCTCTGGGCAAGCGCTGGGCTTTCTTTGTCTTTGTTTTCCAGATTCCAAAATTTGATTGCTATAATCTACTTTCCTGATCTCTTTGACCCCATGGATTTTATCCATTTACAATAATTTTAGTATTGGCACGGGGCTCCCCCATGTAGGGTGGTGCAGGGAGACTCACTAACCACAGGAGGTCCTGCCCGGGGCTCCTCCTTTACCCCCTTCCTTTTGGGGCAGGCTGGAGGGAGGGTCAGGTAATGCTGCTCACACAAAGCCTGCCTGGAAGTCCAGAGGTGGGGGGTACTCTGGGCCTCAGCTGTCAAGACTGGCAACCCTTTAACCCCTGATAACCCAGAAAATGCCCTCCCTTAAAATGTCTGAGTACCATGCTTCTTTGGCATCAGGGAGGGGACGGGAGTGTGGTGTCCTCTAAGTCTGCTCCCTGCTTGGCCGGGCTGTTTGCAGCTCCTTGGTCACTGAGTCCTTGACTGCAGGGGAAGAGAGGTTGGCCTCAGGCTCCAGGTTAGGCCACGGTTCTGAGAACCGGTGTGGGGGATCAGGCTTATATTCCATGCTAGAGCTCCGGAGTCGGTGCGTGGGGTTGGGATGGGGCTGCAGAAGTGCCTTTTAAGATTATGTGCATGGACTGATCTGTCACTGGTTCCCTGCCATCTTTATCTTTTGGATTCCCCTTGGAGCAGGGGGAGGAAGGAGTTTCTTTTGGGTTCCATTGAATCAAATGAAAGGGAAAGTAAAGCTGTTCCTATGTCCTGGGCTCTGGAGCTTCTATTCCTGATCCCTGCAGAAGAAGGAGACGGTGGTGGTGGTGGGTGGGGGTGGCGGGGCACAGAGGAAGCCAGTACCGGGCCCTGCACCCCATTCCCACTCCCAGATCCCTCTGGACACAGCATTTTTCTCCAGTGAGCACAGCCTTCCCTTGCCCCACAGCCAACAGCAACATGCCTCCCAACAAAAGCATCTGCCCCTCAGCCAAAACCCCTGTTGCCTCTCTCTGGGGAAATTGTAGGACTGGGTCAGGGTGGGGGAACCATTCTCTGCAGGGAGATTAGGAGTGTCTGTCAGGGGTGGGTGGAGCGGGGTGGGGCCCTGGCTTACTCACATCCTCGAGAGTCCTTTGCTGGCAGATTTGGGGAGCCCACAGCACAGGTGTCTGTCTCAGTATTGTCTTCCAAGCTCCTAGGCCACAGTAGTGGGGGGCTCCCCTCTCTGGCTTCTTCTTTGGTGACAGTCAAGGTTGGGGGTGGGGTGAGAGAGGGTCCTGCTTCTCTTCTAGGAACAGTTGATCCCAGGAAGAGCAGTGGAGCCTCCAGCAGGGGCTGTTGGGGCCTGTCTGAGGAGATAGGACGCGTCAGGCAGCCCCAGACACGACCACATTCCTCCCAACATGCCTGCTGGGGTCTGTGGAGCCCAGGGGCTGACGGGAGGGTGGGGTGGGGGCCGGAAGGGTTTGCTTTGGGAGGTTGTCTGGGAGATTGCTGAAGTTTTGATATACACACCTCCAAAGCAGGACCAAGTGGACTCCTAGAAATGTCCCCTGACCCTTGGGGCTTCAGGAGTCAGGGACCCTCGTGTCCACTTCAGCCTTGCCCTTGGCACAGCCTGGCACCACTCCAGCTTCTACTCCTCCCCAGAACATCTCCTGGGCCAGTTCCACAAGGGGCTCAAACGAGGGCACCTGAGCCAGACTTCTGCCTACACTAGGGATGTTCTGGGGGTCTGAGAGGATATCTGGGGCTGGAAGAAAAAAAGGCCCCCCTAGGCCTGTTCCTGGATGCAGCTCCATCCACTTTGGGGCTAAGCCTGGGCTACAACAATGCCAACCAGGCTTCTTGCCATACTCGGTTTACAAAAGCCTTTCACATACGCTGTCGCATTGGCTTCTCACAGCTGACTGCAGTAGGCAGAGTAGATGGTATGACTCCCACTTTGCAGATGAGAACACTGAGGCTCAGAGAAGCGCCAAGCCCTGGGTCACGGGGCCGTAAATGGCAGAGCCAGGACCCACCTGACTCCAGGCTGTTTCCTGGCCTCCATGAGGCCACCCGCCCTATGGTGTGGTGGATGTCAGATCCTCACCGTAGGGAGGAAATTAGGGTCTGTGCCCGGGGCTGGGGAGAGCTGCCTGGATTTCTCTTTGATGGGGGTGTTGGGGTGGGAATCACCATACACCTGACTGGCTGAGTGTATTTCAGGGATGGGACAGGCTTCTCAGCACAGCATGGCAGGTCAGGCCTGGGAGGGCCCCTCAGACCTCCTTGTCTCTAACAGCGGGTCATGGTGAGGGACGCCTCTCTGTGCCCAAGGTGACCTTGCCATGCCGGTGCTCTCCAGCTGGGTATCTGTCCCCTGCAGTGGTGGGCTTCCTCTAAGTGGATGGTAAAGGCCCATCCAGTTCATGGAGAGCTAGCAGGTCACCAGGTTTAAGGTGCAGAGGCCCTGCTCTCTGTCACCCTGGCTGAGCCCAGTGTGCGGGTTCCTGAGGGCTGGGACTCCCGGGGCCCCATGGGAAAGTGTAGCCTGCAGGCCCATACCTCCCCCTGTGAATCATGCCTGGCGGGACAAGAAAGCCCAAAACACCCCAAACAATGAGTTTCCAGTAAAATATGACAGACATGATGAGGCGGAGGAGAGGAGGGACCTGGCTGGGAGTTGTCACTAGCCTGTGGGTGATGAAAGCCAAGGGGAATGGAAAGTGCCAGGCCCGCCCCCTACCCATGAGTATAAAGCACTCGCATCCCTTTCCAATTTACCTGAGCACCTTCTCTTCACTCAGCCAACTGCTCGCTCACTCACCTCCCTCCTCAGCACCATGAGCACCTGCAGCCGCCAGTTCACCTCCTCCAGCTCCATGAAGGGCTCCTGCGGCATCGGGGGCGGCATCGGGGGCGGCTCCAGCCGCATCTCCTCCGTCCTGGCCGGAGGGTCCTGCCGCGCCACCAGCACCTACAGGGGTGGCCTGTCTGTCTCCTCCTCCTGCTTCTCCTCTGGGGGAGCCTACAGGCTGGGGGGCGGCTATGGCGGTAGCTTCAGCAGCAGCAGCAGCTTTGCTAGTGGCTTTGGGGGAGGATATGGTGATGGCCTTGGTGCTGGCTTCGGTGGTGGCTTGGGTGGTGGCTTTGCTGGTGGTGATGGGCTTCTGGTGGGCAGTGAGAAGGTGACCATGCAGAACCTCAACGACAGCCTGGTCTCCTACCTGGACAAGGCGCGTGCCCTGGAGGAGGCCAACGCTGACCTGGAGGTGAAGATCCATGACTGGTACCAGTGGCAGCGGCCTGCTGAGATCAAAGACTACAGTCCCTACTTCAAGACCATCGAGGATCTGAGGAACAAGGTGGGTGAATGGGCAGCAGAAGGTGCCATTCCAGCTAGCTCCTTCTGGGAACAATAGATGCCCCAGGACACTGACACCTTAAGATTTCTCTATAGGACAGAGCCCACCCCAGATCCCTTCTTTCGAGGTCTTGGATGCCCTAAGAGCTGATCAGTGAGAGGATGCTCTCTCTTCCCCAGCCTGCTCATCCCCTTCTGATGTCAAATCCTCAGATCAAGTGAGATCAGTGAGTCCTGTCCTTACATTTTACAGAGGAAGCAGTTGAAGCTTTGAGAGGTGCTGTGACCAGCTGCAGGTCACATAGCAAATTAATGGCAGAGCCAAGGCTGGGGCCCTTGTGTCCTACCTTCCAGCACAGGGGAGGAGCGAGGCTCTAACGGGAGCAGGCAAGACATCCAAACCGCTCATTAGCTCACTAGTCTGGGCTGTGGCTGCCGCCGCCCATAAGCCTTAGTACAGTCTGGTCCCTCCCCACAGCCAGGCAGTCATGGAGAGCCTGCAGAGACAATCAGTGTGGCCCCTTGACGTGCCCTGCACAAAGGGAGCCTGGCAGGCTTGTGCCCTGGCTCCAGCCCCCTCCTCCCTGCTCCCACCGAAAATCCTTTGCTTGACTTAACTCACTGCCCTTTAGCCACACAGGACTCCTGCCCTGGCAGTCACTTTGCTTGTTTCCACCTCAGGACATTTGCACATGCTGTATGCCCCTCCCCTTTTTCCTTCTCCTGGCTCACTTCTCCTCCCCCTTCACTCAAGTGTCTCTTTCTCAGGGAGAAGGTCACTGATGCCCCCAACCATGCCACACCCTTTATTATGTGCTCTCCATTCCCCCACCAACCATGCTCACCTCAGTTGTGAATTGCGTGTTTATTTCTGCAGGTCTATTTTATTCCGTAACTGTTCATCAAGATAAGGGCTTGCTCATTACTTTATCGCCAGCACTCAACCCAATGCCTGGCACATAGTAGGTGCTCAATAAAGGATGAATCTGAATTTACAGTGAGGAAACAGGTTCAGAGAGGGGAAGCAACTTTCCCCAAATAAGTGGAAGAATCCGGCTTTACACTATGACCTGCCTGGCTCCGAAGCCGGTGCTCTCAGCCTCCCTGCTAGGTGTGTCCCAGCAGACACAAGCCTGGGGTGCCTAGACTCAGGTGGAGGCACCTATGCGGGCCCACTCCATCCCCTCACTGTGGTCTGATAGGGTCTGGCTGGGCAGAGTGGTGGCAAGTGCCTGTTGTATGAGAAAGAATCAGTGTTGACAGACAGGTGCAGGTACCCACAGCCCTGCACCAGTGGGCAGTGCACACCTGCCTAGATGGCGCATGGAGGCTCCAGGGGAGGAGCCGTGACTCAGCGGGTGCTCCCTCTCCCAGCAGCCAGCCACATGCTGACTCAGGTCCCTCACTTGCCCCACCTGGGGATCAATGACAGACAGCAATGGGGAGTAAGTTGAAGGTGTGGGAAGCAAGAGGGCTCCCATGACCAGAGCAAAGCTGTCCTTGTGCAGCCTCCAGGTCCCCATGTCCCCCGTGGACGATACCTTTGCCTCTGGGGACACCTTGCAAGTAGGGTCTTTGGTTCCCTCTCTGTTCCTCTGTCTGCCTATCTGGGTCCTTGCAGCCCTTCTCTCCTACTCCATCCACTCTCCAAATGGAGGGCCTGCATTTGGGGAATATAAGTACTGAAGGCAAACTGCCTGGGTTTGAATTTTGTTCTGTCCCTTGCACCCTGCCTGGCTTCAAATCCTAGCTCTGCTTATTAAGTTCTTTTAAGGTGATGATCTTTGAGCAAATGTCTTAGCTTCTGTTTTCCCAAGTAAATGGACACAATAGTTGCTACCTTGTGAAAGATTCATGTAATTGACCAGTGTTTACCAAGTAGCATCAGTGTTCAGTTTCAGTCATTGGTGATTCTGCAGTTGGACTGTGATGGGGTGTTGGGGTGGGGGTGGTGTGTGTGTGTAGCACTTAATTGCACGCAGAAAGGAAAAGATACTTTTGATGACCCAGAGGCAGCTTTTCTCTGCTTTTGTGTCAAAAGGGAGGAATGGAGTTTGGAGAGGGAAACTAATTCTGTTCAATACTAAGCTCTCTTCCTCAAAATCAGAGGTACATAGAATGTGTAATAACTTACAGAATTTCTAGACTTCAACAATCTGAATTTTTTAAAATTCATTTTTATTTTTTCAGGTTGAGACTGAGCTAAAGTTAATCTGTGGCGACATTCTGAATGTACTGGACAAACACCTTATTCCAGCAGCTAACACTGGCAAGTCCAAGGTTTTCTATTATGAAATGTAGGTTCTATACTAAAAATTAACAAGTGTACTTCAATAATTTTAAACACGCTCAGGAATAATTGGCTTTGTTTCTTTTTTTCTTAGCTATTTCCTATTATTTTCCTTATTAAATATAACGAAAAATCCCACAGAAATTAACTGAGGAGCCTCTAAATATCAAGAAAATTATCACTTGATAGACTAGAATTAAACAAGCAAGTGGTTCCAAGAAATGGCACAAGTGTATTAATCATAAAATAAAATTTCTACATGAAACTTTCAGCCAGCACTGTGAAATGTGTGGCCGTTTAGGGGAGGGGAATGAGATAGGTCCCATGAAAGCAAAAGAATATAAATAGGTAAAGCAAAAGCTAATGCATTTTTTATAATAGCCTGACCATCTTTTTATCCCAACATTGACTATCCTTCTAACATTAAACAATTATTTTTAAATAAAAGTTGGAAACCTACATAGAAGAAAGTCATGATTCTAAAAAGGCCAACTTTTAATCTTACATTTTCCTTTCTAGTATAGAACCTACATTTCCTAATAGAAAACCTTGGACTTGCCAGTGTCAGCTACTGGAGTGAGGTGTTTGTCCAGTGCATCCAGCACCTCGCCACAGATTAACTGTAGCTCAGTCTCAACCTGAAAAAATAAAAATATACTTAAAAAAATCAGATTGTTGAAGTCTAGAAATTCTGTAAATTATTACACATTCTATCTACCTCTGATTTTGAAGAAGAGAGCTTAGTATTAAAGAGAATTGGTTTCCCTCTCCAAACTCCCTTCTTCCCTTTTGACACAAAAGCAGAGAAAAGCTGCCTCTCGGTTATAAAAAGTATCTTTTCCTTTCCGCGTGCAATTAAGTGCTACACACACACCACCCCCCACCCCAGCACCACCTCACAATCCAACTGCAGAATCACCAATGACTGAAACTGAACACTGATGCTGCTTGGTAAACACTGGTCAATTACATGAATCTTTCACAAGGTAGCAACTATTGTGTCCATTTACTTGGGAAAGCAGAAGCTAAGACATTTGCTCAAAGGTCATCACCATAAAAGAACTTCATAAGCAGAGCTAGTATTTGAACCCAGGCAGGGTGCAAGGGACAGAACAAAATTCAAACCCAGGCAGTTTGCCTTCAGTATTTACATTCCTAACAACGTGCAACAGGCAATCCCTTTAGTGGAAGAGATCCAAAACTAGTTAAGATACCAAAAATCTATGGACCAAAGTAACTATTGCCACTCATCTCTATTCATTTACAATGCTGAAAAGGTACAACACCTCTAAACGCACATACCCAGCTTGCTTCCTTTTTTTTCTTTTCTTTTCTTTTTTTTTTTTTTTTTTGAGACTGAGTCTCACTTTGTCCCTCAGTCTGGAGTGCAGTGGTGCGATCTCGGCTCACTGCAACCTCCGCCTCCCGGATTCAAGCTATTCTGGTGCCTCAGCCTGCAGAGTAGCTGGTATTACGGGCACTTGCCATCACAACTGGCTAATTTTTGTATTTTTCTTTCTTTTTTTTTTTTTTGAGACAGACTCTCGCTGGTCGCCCAGGCCGGAGTGCAGTGGCACGATCTCCGCCTACTGCAAGCTCCGCCTCCCGGGTTCACGCCATTCTCCTGCCTCAGCCTCCCGAGTACCTGGGACTACAGGCACCCGCAACCATCCCCGGCTAATTTTTTGTATTAGTAGAGACGGGGTTTCACCGTCTTAGCCAGGATGGTCTCGATCTCCTGACCTCGTGATCCGCCCACCTTGGCCTCCCAAAGTGCTGGGTTTACAGGCGTGAGCCACCGTGCCCAGCCCCTGATTTTTGTATTTTTCTTAGTAGAGACAGTTTCACCGTGTTGGCCAGGCTGGTTTCAAACTCCTGAACTCAGGTGATCCGGCTGCCTCAGCCTCCCAAAGTGCTAGGATTACAGGCATGAGCCACCACGCCTGACCTTATCACAGTTTTTTGTTGTTGTTGTTTTTTTTAAGAGACGGAGTTGGCCGGGTGCGGTGGCTCACGCCTGTAATCCCAGCACTTTGGGAGGCGAGGCGGGTGGATCACGAGGTCAGGAGATCGAGACCATCCTGGCTAACACGGTGAAACCCCGTCTCTACTAAAAATACAAAAAATTAGCTGGGTGTGGTGGCGGGCGCCTGTAGTCCCAGCTACTCAGGAGGCTGAGGCAGGAGAATGGCGTGAACTAGAGAGGCGGAGCTTGCAGTGAGCCGAGATCACGCCACTGCACTCCAGCCGGGGCCACAGAGCAAGACTCCGTCTCAAAAAAAAAAAAAAAGAGAGACGGAGTCTCACTCTGTTTCCCCGGCTGAAGTGCGGTGGTGCGATCTTGGCTCACTGCAACCTCCCGCCTCCTGGGTTCAAGCAATTCTTTTGCCTCAGCCTCCCGAGTAGCTGGACTACATGTGCACGCCGCCACGCGTGGCTAATTTTTTTTATATTTTAGTAGAGACGGGGTTTCACTGTGTTGCCCAGGCTGGTCTTGAACTCCTTAGCTCAGGCAATGCGCCCGCCTCAGTCTCCCAAAGTGCTAGGATTATAGGCATGAGCCACTGCGCCTGGCCTATCACAACGTTTTAAAAGTGAACATATAAATATTCCTTACATGTGTATCTACATTATTAAAAACCATAAACCAACTGAAGTATAAATGGGGGAACAGTTTAACACACATCAGTAAGACTGAAACTTATTTATGCTAAGACAGAAAACATAAAATGATGAGTGCTAGGAGAATAACTGTTAAAAACATGCCCATTGGCCTGGTGTGGTGGCTCTTGCCCTGTAATCCCAGCACTTTGGGAGGCCGAGGCAGGTAGATCACCTGAGTTCAAGTGATCAACACCATCCTGGCCAACACGGTGAAACCATGTCTCTACTAAAAATAGAAAAATAGCTGGGCATGGTGGTGGGTGCCTGTAGTCCCAGCTACTCAGGAGGCTGAGGCAGGAGAATCTCTCGAACCCAGGAGGTGGAGGTTGCAGTAAGGTGAGATGGTGCCACTGCACTCCAGCATGGGCAACAGAGAGACACTCCATCTCAAAAAAAAAAAAGAAAAGAAAAGAAAAAAAAAAGAATTCTATTGCCCAGATTAACAAACTAATTTTGTGCCAGCTGCCTTAATGAAGATAAAATAAATGAAATAAACTACTAAATTTAGTGCAAAGGAGCAGAGCAGACAATCTATTAATCTGGTAATTTTGTTAAGAATAACGATAGCTAATATTCATGGAGAGCTTGTTATGAGCCACGTCCTATCCTAAATATCCTACTTGTTTTAACTTCATCCTAGCAACAAATATATGAGATGGATTCTAAAACTCTCTTCACTTAGAAACAACTGGGGCCTAGAGAGATTTCTCTGTGCCATATGATGCTGTTTGGTAGCATTTTGCCTCCAGTAGTTTCTTTCAGAATTGGGGTCAGTCCTCTCAAACCTCTTTGCTGCTTTATCAACTAAGTTTATACCCTCTTCTGAATCCTTTGTTGTCGTTTCAACAACGTTTACAGCATCCTCACCAGTAGAATCCATCTCAAGAAACCACTTTCTTTGCTCATCTGTTAAAATCAACTCCTCACCTGTTCGCGTTTTCTCATGAGCTTATTGCAATTCGGTCACATCTTCAGGCTCCACTTCTAATTCTAGTTTTCTTGCGAGTTCTGCCACATCTGCCGTTCCTTTCTCCACTGAAGGCTTGAACCCCTCAAAGTCATCCAGGGTGGTTGGAATCAATTTCTTCCAAACTCCTGTTGATGTTGATATTCTGACCTCCTCATGAATGTTCTTAATGGTATCTAGAATGGTAACTCCTTTCCACAACGCTTTCCATTTACTTTGCACAGATCCGTCAGAAGAATCACTATCTATGACAGCTTTAGCCTTACAAAATGTATTTCTTAACTAATAAGACTTGAAAGTCAAAATCGCTCCTTGAACCACGGGCTTCACAATGCATGCTGTGTTGGCAGGCGTGAAAACAACATTCCTCTCCTTGTACATCTCCATCGGAGCTCTTGAGTAACCAGGTGTGTTGTCAAAAAGAAATAATATTTTGAAAGAATTCTTTTTTTTCTGAGCAGTAGGTCTCCACAGTGGGCTTCAAATATTCAGCAAATCATGCTGTAAACAGATGTCTTCCAGGCTTTGCTGTTAAGTGTACAGAGCACAGGCAGAGTAGATTGAACATAATTCTTAAGGGCTGTAGCATTTCTGGGATGGTAAACAAACAACGGCTTCACTTTAAAGTCATCACCAGCTATGTTAGCCCCTAAGAAGACAGTCAGCTGTCCTTTGAAGCTTTGAAGCCAGGCACTGACTTCTCGTTTCTAGGATGAAAGTCTTAAATGGCATCTTCCACCGGAAGGTGGAGGTTGCAGTGAGCTGTGACTATGCCACTGCACTCCAGCCTGGGTGACAGAGACAGACCCTGTCTTAAAAAAAAAAAAAAAGACATATACACAACATTGATTAAGTTCATCCTCTTATATCACTGAGGTTGTAAACAATTACAATAGCAACATCAAAGATCGCTGATCGCTATGACAGATATGATAATAATGAAAACATCTAAAATACTGTTACTGAAATGGAACACAGAGACACAAAGTGAGCATATGCTGTTAGAAAAACAGCACCGCAAGACTTGCTTGACACAGGGTTGCCACCAACCTTCAGTTTGTAAAAAAATAATATCTGCAAAGTGCAATAAAGCAAACACAATAAAATTTGGTAGGCCCGTACGTGAGATTTCTTTGTATTATTTCTTTTTGTTTTTCTTTGTAGAGATGGGGTCTCACTGTCACCCAGGCTGGAGTGCAGTGGCACCATCACAGCTCACTACATCTTTGAACTCCTGGGCTTCAAGGGATCCTCCCGCCTCAGCCTCCCAGGTAACTGGAATCACAGGCATAAGCCACCACACCCGGCCTCTCTGTATTATTTCTTACAACTGCATGCAAATCTATAATTAACTCAAAACAAAAAGTTAAACATTTATTAAGTGTTGACCAATGTACCAAATGACAATAACAAAAACCCAATTCCAACTTAGATTAAATATAAAGCTACATACCTTAAGTAGTATACAACTGTGAAGCAGCATTTTAAAAATCAGATAACCATGTAGAAATACATTTCTATCTAAATAAACTCAAGGCATCAGACTAGAAAGAAATGTAAAATTACAAAGCCAAGCATTTCACACAAATCGTCAGAAAGCCAGCCAGGTACACTTCATCATTTCCACTATCTGCTTTCTATAAGATCTGAAGATATAATAGCATTTGTCTTGTATCTGTTCTCAACCACAGAGGTCAGAACCAAACTAGCTAATAAACTAGTCTAACTACTATACTTTAGTTAGAAAATAAACTCATTATAATTTGTACTCAAAGACAATGTTCCTGAGGAATTGGAGTTGAGATGGACTCTAAGGAACATGTCATTACATATATTTCTTTATATGTCATTACATATAAAGAAAATTATTTGAAGTGGTTTGTGGCACACAGATAGAATCCTTGTTCTATGTAATGAGTGCTGGCTTAAAAGGTATGCTTTCTGGAAATGACATTTTGACCAATTTAAATCATATTTTACATGTAATAAAACTATTTTCTATTTACATGAATCAAATAGTCTCATAAAGCAAACACTTACGTCTCCATTTATTTCCCACTTTTTGCACAAAATTGGATTTTAATAGAGTAGGTTTTCTTAAAAGGATAAATGCTCACTGAAATTGGTCATTTTATATATTTGAGACTGACAACATATCCTCATATTATGGTAATTTTATAGCAATATTGTCAAAGAAAACAGTGTTTTCTGGATTCACTTGAAAATGAAACCAACCTAAAGAAAACAAAAATTATAATCCCAAATATGCTACCCTATAGAGGAAAGGGTGTTTCTTCCCCTTAAGTCCCCTTATACATTAGTCATCTTTCTTTTATTAAAAGTCTTAAAATATCCTCTAAAGCAGATTTCAAAATACAACATTCCTGAGTCCTCAGGAGTCCTGCTCACAGAAGGGATCTTTAACTTACAGGAAGACGATGCTGACACTAGCTTAAGCACGCATTCAGCACACCACAGTTACAGTGAATCACACAGGAATTCCACACACATTCCCTACCCACTGTCAGCCTTAGTTTACATAGTGGCGTCAACAGCGAAAAGCCAGTGGTTCCTAAACATCTTCTCAAATTGCCCAGTCTCCAGGTCCTTGCTCATTTGGCTAAGACTGAATAAACAAACACCATTCATTAAAACGCCTCCTGGCCAGTGTGGACACAACGACAGAGTGACTCCATACCGACGGCATCATCTAGTTAAAATTAAATTTAAACTTATTTTCCTTTGGGGTATGAAATATATAATCAAATGGAGTTATCCTTCGTATGTTAAGTACTTGATAACAGCCCTGAGGTGTTCTATAAACTCATCTAGAGCCTGTAATTAAGAAACAAAATTCTGTTTGTCTCAAGACCAATGTAAACTAGCTGAAAACAATAAGCTACATTTCATCAGCAGTTATCATGCTGAGGAATCACTAAAACCATATCTAAATAATTCTCTTTTTAAAAAATAACTCATTTCCCTTTAAAAAATAACTCATTTCCCTTCACACACACACTGCAAATGGCACACATTTCAAGAATAAACATGATTTCAAGCATATATCTTAAAGCAATTTAAACCAACAAAATGTAAGAACTTGGCAAAATCACTTAGATAATATCTAATTAGAATCCTCTTTTAAAACAACAGGAAAGTAAGTAAATAATAACCAAATAAATAAGAAAGCAAGTAAATGAGAAAACAAATAAGCACGTATATAATTAATAAGTAAAAATTTAAAAATCAATCCCTTTGCAAGCTGCAATAATTAATGAGGTTGTCACTAACCGATCAGACCATTTACATCAAGCATTGTGGTGAGACAGTCTTTCAGTTAGTATAAGAGTAAACAGAAATGGCGAAAAACTAATTCTTCACAATACTAGGATTTAGTTAAATTGAATTCATTTTATAGGTGGGTAACTATTCGTAGACCTTGAAGTTCTGAAATACAGAGTTAAAATAAGAGAAAGCTTTCTGGAATCAATAATATTCTAGTTATTGCTTAGTTGACTCATTGTGACATGCTTCCAACCTGGGCATCAAACAAGGATACACATCAAATCGGACTCAGTCTGGTTGGCTCCTTGCGCTCTGTAGCCGTGGTGGCAGCAGCAGCAGACGTCGGCGGCTGGGCTGCCAGGAGCAGTTCCACTGGGTTTCACTGTCCGAGACTTCCTTTGGGGCACTCCAGCAAACCAAGGTGGAGTACGAATGGAAATCTGATAAGCAAGGGCTTCAGCAAATCCTGCAGCTATTGAAGGAGTCCCAGTCCCCAGACACCACCATCCAGAGAACTGTGCAACAATTCTAGAAACTGGAACAACTTAATCAATATCCAGACTTTAGCAACTACTTGATTTTTGTTCTTACAAAATTAAAATCTGAAGATGAACCCACAAGATCATTGCGTGGTCTCATCTTGAAGAATAATGTGAAAGCACACTTTCAGAACTTCCCAAATGGTGCAACAAACTTCATTAAAAGTGAATGTTTAAATAATATTGGTGACTCCTCTCTTCTGATTAGAGCCACTGTTGGTATTTCGATCACAGCTATAGCCTCCAAGAGAGAATTGCAGAATTGGCCTGACCTCTTACCAAAACTCTGTAGCCTGTTGGATTCTGACGATTACACCACCTGTGAGGGAGCATTTGGCACCCTTCAGAAGATTTGTGAAGATTCTTTTGAGATTTTAGATAGTGATGTTTTAGATTGTCCTCTCAACATCAGGATTCCCAAATTTTTACAGTTCTTCAAGCACAGTAGTCCAAAAATAAGGTCTCACGCTGTTGTATGTGTCAATCAGTTTATCATCAGGACTCAAGCTCTGATGTTGCACATTGATTCTTTTATTGAGAAATCTCTTTGCATTGGCTGGTGAGCCAGAGGTATGGAAAAATGTGTGCCGAGCACTTGTGATGTTGTTCGAAGTTTGAGTGGATCGCCTGCTCCCTCACATGCGTAATATAGTTGAGTATATGCTACAGAGGACTCAAGATCAAGATGAAAATGTGGCTTTAGAAGCCTGTGAATTTTGGCTAACTTTAGCTGAACAGCAAGTATGCAAAGATGTATTCGTAAGGCATCTTCCCAGGTTGATTCCTGTGTTAGTGAATGGCATGAAGTACTCAGATATAGATATTATCCTACCTAAGGGTGATGTTGAAGAAGACGAAATGATTCCTGATAGTGAACAGGATATATGGCCACGTTTTCACCGATCAAGGACAGTGGCTCAGCAGCATGATGAAGATGGAATTGAAGAGGAAGATGATGATGATAATGAAATTGATGATGATGATACAATTTCTGACTGGAATCTAAGGAAATGATCTGTTGCTGCCCTAGATGTTCTTGCAAACGTGCATCATGATGAACTGCTGCCATATATATTGCCCCTTTTGAAAGAATTACTTTTTCATCATGAATGGGTTGTTAAAGAATTAGCCATCTTGGGTTTAGGAACAGTTGCTGAAGGTTTGCATGCAGGGCATGATTCCTTGCTTGCCTGAGCTTATTCCTCACCTTATTCAGTGCTTCTCTGATAAAAAGGCTCTTGTCCGTTCCATAACATGCTGGACTCTTAGCCGCTATGCACACTGGGTAGTCAGCCAGCCACCAGACACGTACCTGAAGTCATTAATGACAGAGTTGCTAAAAGGCATCCTGGATAGCAACAAGAGAGTACCAGAAGCTGCCTGCAGTGCCTTTGCTACCCTAGAAGAGGAGGCTTGTACAGAACTTGTTGCTTACCTTGCTTATATACTTGATACCCTGGTCTTTGCATTTAGTAAATACCAGCATAAGAACCTGCTCATTCTTTACAATGCCAGAGGGACATTAGCAGATTCAGTAGGACATCATTTAAACAAACCAGAATATATTCAAATGCTAATGCCTCTACTGATCCAGAAACGGAACATGTTAAAGGATGAAGATAAAGATCTTTTCCCTTTACCTGAGTGTCCATTTTCAGTTGCCACGGTGCTGCAGTCTGGCTTCCTTCCATACTGTGAACCTATGTATCAGCATTGGGTAAACCTAGTACAGAAGACTCTTGCACAAGCCATACTAAGCAATGCTCAACCAGATCAATATGAAGCTCCAGATAAAGATTTTATGATAGTGGCTCTTGATTTACTGAGTGGCCTGGCTGAAGGACTTGGAGGCAATATTGAACAACTGGTAGCCCGAAGTAACATCCTAACACTAACATATCAGTGCATGCAGGATAAAATGCCGGAAGTTCGACAGAGTTCTTTTGCCCTGTTAAGTGACCTCACAAAAGCTTGCTTTCAGCATGTTAAGCCTTGTGTAGCTGATTTCATGCCAATATTGGGAACCAACCTAACTCCAGAATTCATTTCAGTCTGCAACAATGACACATGAGCAATTGGAGAAATCTCCATTCAAATGGGTATAGAGATGCAGCCTTATATCCCTATGGTGTTGCACCAGCTTGTAGAAATCATTAACAGACCCAACACACCAAAGACGTTGCTAAAGAATACAGCAGTAACAATTGGTTGTCTTGGTTATGTTTGTCCTCAAGAGGTGGTCCCCATGCTACAGCAGTTTACGAGACTCTGGTGCACCTCTCTGAGAAACATAAGAGACAATGAGAAAAGGATTCAGCATTCCGTGGAATCTGCATCATGATCAGTGTGAATCCCCATGGCATAATCCAAGATTTTATATTTTTTTGTGATGCTGTTGCATCATGGATTAACCCAAAAGATTATCTCAGAGACATGTTCTGTAAGATCCTTCATGGATTTAAAAATCAAATTGGCAATGAAAATGGGAGGCATTTCTCTGACCAGTTTCCTCTTCCCTTAAAAGAGCATCTTGTAGCTTTTTATGGTGTTTAATGTAATACACTTAAGCTGCAGTCCCAAAATTAGGGGTCCTTCAGTCTTGGAGACTATGAGGGAGCCTCTGCACCCAGGGAAAATGCTACCCTTCATGGGGGGAAGGGTAAACCAGTAGGGAATACAGTATAATCTCAACCCTACTGGGAGGGGCGGGAGGGAGGTGTTGCCATCACTGTATTAAGTTGACGTTGGGAAACGTTTTAACATCTGGAGGCTTTGTGGGTGGAAATATGTCTCCAGTTACAACTCCACAGTGGACGTGAAGAGGGGGAATAAAAAAGAAGAAAAAGAAAGAAAGTGTGGCCGGGCACAGTGGCTCATACCTGTAATCCTAGCACTTTGGGAGGCTAAGGCAGGTGGATCAGTTCAGGTCAGGAGTTTGAGACCAGCCTGACCAACATGGTGAAAAAAATACATCTCTATTAAAAAAATACATGCACACACACAAAAAATCTAGGCATGGTGGAGGGCACCTGTAATCCCAGCTACTTGGGAGGCTTAGGTGGGAGGATCACTTGAACCTGGGAGGTGAAGGTTACAGTGAGTTGATATCATGCCATGGCACTCCAGCCTGGGCAACAGAGCAAGACTCCTGTTTAAAAAAAGAAAGAAAGAAAGAAAGAAAGGGATGGGGGAATGCTTTATTAATGCAGTTGTTTAAATATATTGTGATTAATCCATACAACCAAACTGTAAAGATGTATCTTAAAGAACAAGGCACCTCTCTGTGTACTGAAATGTACTGTATGTACATTTGTACTGAAATATAAGCATAAGCAAGTATGTGCTGTCTATGTATGTGGAAAGAGTCTGTAATGCATTAAGAGGAGAAAGCGTGCATTAAAGGAGGTATTTCCCATTTTGGAGGCAGGGAGGAAAATCTGGCATGCATGTGTGTGAGAGAGAGTGCATTAGAATATGCGCAGAAAACACATCTGCGAACGCATAGCGCAAATGCTTACTAATGGAGAGCAGGGGTGCTGGCCCGCTTCTACTCTGTCGTGTGTTTCCATTGTGTTAGACTTACTGATAATGAGTTCATGTGACTTTTGTAATCCTAGAGAGGGGACAGCATGTGTGAAGGTCTGAAGCAATAGAATGCATTAGGGAAAATACTAAAATTGGCCCAAAAAGGAAACAAGGATGGCAGGAAGAGATGAGAGTGGAGAGGAAGGCGGCAGGCAGATGGCCCAGGGTAGCCTACGCTCTGCCAAGGAGTGTGGGGTTCATCCCAGTGCAGCAGGCTTTCTTTGTCCTCACTGGCAGCTCCTCTCAGCCTATGAGGCTGCCTCCTTGTCTTCTGCCCACATCTGACTGTGGGAGTTTCTAATCTAATCGCTTAGGAGGCCATCAACTTTACTTAGGGCTGAAGAATGTCTCATTCACTCAATAAATATTTACAAGCCCCAGCACAGTGGCTCACGCCTGTAATCCTAGCACTTTGGAGGCCAAGGTGGGAAGATCACTTGGATCTAGGAGTTGGAGAGCAGCCTGGGCAACATAGCAAGACCCCATCTCTACGAAAAATAAGAAATTAGTCAGGCCTGGTGCTGCGCACCTGTGGTCCCAGCCACTTGGGAGGCTGAGGTGGGAGGATCGCTTGAGCCTGGGAAGTCAAGGCTTCAGTGAGCCGAGATCTTGCCACTGCACTCCAATTTTGGCAACAAGCAAGACCTTGTCAAAAAAAAAGAAGGAAGGAAAGAAGAAAGAAAGAAAGAAAGAGAAGGAAGGAAGGAAGGAAGGAAGGAAAGAAAGAAAGAGAAAGAAAGAAAGAGAAAGGAGAGGAGAGGAGAGGAGAAAGAAAATATTCATAAAGAGAAACTGGAATCCCACAGGCTCAGTCCTGATGAGGGTGGTCCTGCTTCCTCATCTCTTCTCTGTCTACACTGTCTCCTGTGACACCATCCATGTTCCTGGCTGTGTAAAGCATCTTCATGTGCCCCTCCCACGTCCTCTCTCCTGCTTGGTCTCCCTCTAAGCACAGACTTGGGAATATAACTGCCTCCTTGGCACTTTCATCTGATAGGCATCTCACATCAAAAACTCAACTCTGGCTTATAGCCACCCGCCAATCTGCTCCTGTTTTAATCTTCATCTCAGTAAACAGTGCTACCATCCACCCTGCTGCCCAGGCCAGATACCTAGGAGTCTTCTTTTTTTAATTAATTTATTTATTTGAGACAAAGTATTGCTCTGTCGTCCAGGCTGGAGTGCAGTAGCACGATCTCATCTCACTGCAACCTCGGCCTCCTGGGTTCAAGCAATTCTCATGCCTCACCCTCTGGAGTAACTGGGATTATAGGCGTGTGCCACTATGCCTGGCTAATTTTTGAATTTTTAGTGGAGATGGGGTTTTGCCATGTTGGCCATGGCTGGTCTCAAATTCCTGGCCTCAAGAGATCTGCCCACCTCGGGCTCCCAAAGTGCTGGGATTACAGGTGTGAGCCACCACACCCAGCCTATTTTCACTCTCTTAATGATGTCTTTGGAAGTGCAAAAGTTTTGAATTTTGAAGAAGTCTAATTTATCAATTTTATTGTGATCTATCTATCTATAGAGCTATACATACAGACATTTCCTGATTTACAATGGTTCAACCTACAATTTTTGACTTTACTGTGGTATGAAAGCCATATACATGCAGCAGAAATCATGCCAAGTACCCATAAAACCATTCTGTTTTTCACTTTCAGTAAAGTATTCCATAAATTATGTAAGATAGTCACCACTTTATTATAAAATAAGCTTCGTGTTAGATGATGTTGCTCAACTGTAGGCTAATGTATGTGTTCTGAGCACGTGTAAAGTAGGCTAGGCTAAGCTATGATGTTTCATAGGTTGTGTATTAGATGCATTTTTAACCTATTTTCAGCCTACGACGGGTTTGTTGGGATGTAACCCCATCATAAGTCAAGGAGCATCTGCATATAATGTTTTGTGTGTGCATATATTTTTAAAGTCTAGCTGACAGTATTTGGTAATGAATTAGATTTCGGGTAGAGAAGAATTAAGAATGATTCCAGTGGTTTTGGTCAAGCAAGTGTCTAAGATGGGGGAAGCCTACAGAAGCAGGAAGTTGGGGATGGGGGATCAGGAGCTCTGTTCTGGATGCACGGAGTTTGAGCTTGTCTGTTAGAAATCCACGCAGAGATGCTGAGAGGCAGGTGGAATCTGGAGTTCAGAGTCATTTGATAGATTAGGTGGCTGAGTGAGGTTGCAGAAGACCAACAGGGGTGAGAAGGTGGACTGAAAGGAGGAGAGAATCGAGGCCTGCCCAGGGCCTCTGCACTTAGAGGTTAGACAATGAGGTAAACCCAGCAGGAAGATGAGAAGGAGTGGCCAGTGAGGTGCAGTTAATCTTCCTGAACGTCAGTTTCCTTGTAATAACTAGGCAGCAGTCATGAACAGTACTTCCCTCATAGCGTGATGGTGAGGTTCCTGGAATGTGCGCTAAAAGTGCTTAGAGCAGCACCTTGCATGTAGGAGCTGCTCAGCGCATGTTAGCTAAACATGAGAATCTTCTCTCTAAACCTTCTAAAGAATTGTCAGATCTTGCCTGATGGCCTTAGCTATCAGGAGAGAAAATCTACAGAGAAACTTGGAGCCCACCTCAGCCAGGTGGCCTGGGCACTGTAGGATGCCACCTGCTCAAGGGGAGGACTGGGCACTGCACTGAGTCTGCTGCCCAGAGCCTGGCACCATTGGGCTGGCTGAGGCACACTGCCAAGCCAGCAGGTTTGTGCAACAGACTTGGCTCCCAAAAGGGAGGCCCAGAAGGCCCAGACACCCTCAGGAATAGGGCCTGGCTGAAGACTGTGATTAAGGAGGTGAGAGTTTCAAGTCTGGTAATTTTGTTATTAAACAGAAATGTGACTTCATTTACATTCCTGAGCCTCGAAGCCTGGACTTAAAGATGAATCCCCAGTGGGTGAGGCTGGGTACCAGAAGTGGCTACATATTTGCAGAGCCCACCGAAAATGGAAATGTGGATCTCTTGGTCATGTGTCATGAAGGATGTCAAGGCAGTTATAGCAGAGCATTAAACCAAGTGTGGGGCCCTTAGCACCGGGGCCCTCTGTGACTGCACAGGTCGTAGGCCCATGCAGCTGGCCCTGTCTGGCCCTGCCTGGTTTCCATCCACAATGAAGGAGGACAGAGTCTGGAAGGTTGAAGAGGGAGGCACTAGACATTCGTGGGTAGAGAGACCACTGGGGCTACAGTGTGGAGAATGGGTCACGGTGAGCAGGAGTGGTCAGAGCTGTTGGAGCTTTATGCTGAGATGGGATGAGGTCTGCCCAGATGGGTGGGGAGGGGACAGGAGAGGAGTGGGACCCTCTCTCTGGGGAGGCTGCCCTGTGGCTTCCTGTTTCTCCCTGTTTCCTGCTCATTGGGCCTTTTCTGCCTTCTCCTCAGGAATTCTCCTGGGACTGCCATTCTGGGATGTGCATATTCTTTTATTCCACTCCCTTTTGTAGAGATGGAAGCTCCCCCACTGGTGTGGGGCTGAGAGCAGATTCCCCCCATTGACAGAAACGAAGACACCACAACCCCTCCCTCACGGCACCATTGCTATCCCTTCGGGAACTGTGGCTTGAGATGTCCTGTTGAGTCACTTCACACCAGCCTCTCACTGGCAACCTTTGAATGTCTATGACATTCAAAGACAGAAAAAGTAGGCCAGGTGCGGTGGCTCACGCCGGTAATCCCAGCCCTTTGGGAGGTCCAGGCGGGCAGATCACCTGAGATCAGGAGTTCGAGACCAGCCTGGCCAACATGGTGAAAACCCGTCTCTACTAAAAATACAAAAATAATTAGCCAGGCATGGTGGTGGGTGGCTGTAATCCCAGCTAGTTGGGAGGCTGAGGCAAGAGAATCACTTGAATCCAGGAGGCGTAGGTTGCAGTGAGCCGAGATCACGCCACTGCACTCCAGCCTTGGCAACACAGTGAAACCCCATCTCAGAAATAAATTAATAAAAGGGAGGTTCTCTAAAAAAATTCTTTATAAGTTGCATTATTCAATTCTGTCTTTGTGAAATTAAATTAAATTTAAAAAGTTATATTGTACTTCTTCTGTCTTTGGTTTGTTTTTTTGTTTGTTTGTTTGTTTTGTTTTGAGACGGAGTGTTCTTGTTGCCAAGGCTGGAATGCAATGGCGTCGTCTCAGCTCACTGCAACTTCCACCTCCTGGGTTCAAGCAATTCTCCTCCCTCAGCCTCCCAAATAGCTGGGATTACCGGAGTACACCACCAAGCCCAGCTAATTTGTGTATTTTTAGTAGAGTCCAGGTTTCACCATGTTGGCCAGGCTGGTTTCAAACTCCTGACCTCAAGTGATCTGCCCACCTGGGCCTCCCAAAGTGCTGGGATTACAGGCGTGAGCCACCGCATCAGCTTTTTTTTTTTTTTTTAAGAGATGCTAGAAGTGTGGAATTTTATGTGAAATCTCCCAATTTTCAGAAGTTGGCTTACATTTTTAAAACAGTTTATAGGACAAACAAAACAAGTTTGCAGACTGGAATTGGCTGCAGGCCACCAAGTTGCAGGTTCTGACAGCTCCACTGTCACTGGGAGGCATCTGGAGCTGATTCCAAGCTGCTACGCCCAGCATCAGGAAGTGTCAACTGTATGTTCACCCTCCAGCTTTCGGCTGCCACACGCTGTGTGCTCTAGTTACATGCTCTGACCCGCCACAGACCACGGTGGCTCTCCCCAAGGCCCAGAGTCCATGATGGGAGCTTGACATGGGGTCAGTGAGCTTCAGTAGAAAGGGGGTCTCCCCCAACAGTGCAGCGAGAAGCAACAAGAGTTGGGGTGGGGACGTGGGGAACAACATGCTCACATGCAGGGCTCTGAGCTCTGTGCGCTCTGCCTAATTGTTCTTCTCTTGGTCATTGGACAGCCCCAGCCCCTGCAGTTCCTGCTCTCCTCAACAGGGCTGCCCAGTGAGAACCGGACCCTGTCTGCTAGTCTGCTAGAACACTTTACCTTCACAGATGCAGGATTAAATACCCTGGCATCACACAGTGAGGATGTTATTTTCAAGTGTCTTTCAACCCTTCTGATGACCTCAAGAAGAAAGGCTAGGCCAGGTGCGGTGGCTCAAGCCTGTAATCTCAGCACTTTGGGACACTGAGGTTGGAGGATCGCTTGAGCCCAGGAGTTTGAGACCAGCCTGCACAACATAGTGTGACCCTGTCTGTAAAATAAATTAAATAAATAAATAAATAAATAATTTTTTTAAAAGAGAAAGGCTCAGGTTGATGCCAGTACCTCCTCTCCACCGGTGTTGATTGCATTTTTTTTTTTTTTTTGAGACAGAGTCTTGCATTGTTGCCCTGGCTGGAGTGCAATGGCTCACTGCAACCTCCGCCTCCTGGGTTCAAGTGATTCTCCTACCTCAGCCTCCCAAATAGATGGGATTACAGGTGCCTGCCACCATGCCTGGCTAATTTTTGTATTTTTAGTAGAGACGGGGTTTCACTATGTTGGCCAGGTTGGTCTTGAACTCCCGACCTCATGATCCACCCTCCTCAGCCTCCCAAAGTGCTGGGATTACAGGTGTGAACCACCATGTCTGGCCACATTTTTTTTTTTTAAGAGATGCGGGTCTGTTTCTGTCACCCAGACTGGACTGCAGTGGCTATTCACAGACATAATCATAGCATGCTACTGTGTGGAACTCCTAAGCTCAAGCGATCCTCCTGCCCCAGCCTCCCAAGCAGCTGGGACTACAAGTGCACACCACCACGCCTGGGTCTGATCTCACTTTTAACACAAAAAGGGCAGGCTTCAGACTCAGAACTTTGGGTTGACCACATTATCCCATCTGGAATATAATAGCAGTTGAGGGGGAAGCAGGCTCAATTCAATCAGGCCGAGCACCTGCATTCTTTTAATTATGTACATTGCAGAGACAGAGCAGGTGTGTGGATTCTGGAGCAAAACAATGGGAGACTGTAAGTGAGTATTTTAGCTTTTTCTTCCTGATACCTTTATATACACTTGCAGAGTTACCACAGCAACCTAGCAGTGATTCCCTTCCTCCCCCCACCTTTTTTATGTGGTAAAGTGTACAGAATATAAAAGTTATCATTTAAACCATTTGGAAATGCACAAATTACTAGCATTAAGTACATTCACGCTGTTATGCAACCATCACCACCATCCATCTCCAGAACCTTTTCATCTCCAAATGAAACTCCCATTAAACACTAACTCCCCTTTCCCCAGTCCCCTGAGTCCATGGGGGACACCAAGTCAGCCCTCAGCCCCGCTACGGGTTCCTGCACCTCCTGGAACCTCCGTCTCCTTGTTGATAAGGGAAGTGGGATCTTGCTACTTGGCAGGCTTGTGGTGATGACCAAATCAATGAAGTGTGTGAAGCACTTAGCACATAAAGTGAATGTTCAAAGCCTGATGGCTGCCCTCATCCAGCCAGGATCTGCACCTCCCTTCCAGGATCACTAAGTCCATTCCCAGAAGGGAAGTTGTGCATTGATTGCAGTGACCCGGTGATGCCTTCTTTCCAGCCCACGTGAGCTCTGGCAACGCATCACGTTCAATGCTCGCAGCATGTGGACGGCCCGTGACAACACTCTAGTTTCCAGTGTGAATGTAGATTTCCACTTCCCGCCCACATCCCACCTTTAAAATTGTTGGTTGTTATTTCAGTCAGTTTCTAGGCTGGGAGGCAGAGCCGCACTGAAGAAGTAGACACACCCTTCTCAGTCACCTTCTCATCACCAAGTAGGAACTGAGCATCTACTGTCTTTCTCCCTTGAGCAAATGGCTGGACAATATGCCTCAGGAATAGGGCTCATCAGAGGGAGGGTGCGGGAGGCCTGGGTTCTGAATCTTACCCATCTCTCCTTCGTTGGGGTATTGAGCAAGCCTTTAGTGTGGAAGGAAACAGGTCCTGAGGTGTGCAGGAAGTGGCCTGGGATTTTCCATATTTCTGTAACAGCACAACTATCACTGCAGCCAGGTCATTTATGATGGCCGCTGGGAGGACACTGAGAAGCAGCTGCTACCTGTGGAAAGAACTGTAGGATTTTAGTTGATGAGAACCACTGAGGGATATGGCTGCCAAAATAATAAAATAATCTTAGGTGACATCACTGGTGGTAGAGTGTGTAGAAACAAGGGAGGTGAAAGCCCACACTGCAGTGTGTTGGTCAGATTCCTTGGGGGACAGGGTCTAGGTCCGGCACATGCCAGGAAGCCTGGCCAAAGGGAGAGATGGTCACTGACTGCCTACTACGTGGCAGGATCATGCTAGGTGCTTTACATGTGTTCTCTCATTTCACATCAGGGAAGTCATGTGAGAAAATATCACCCCCATGTACAGAAGGGAAAACTGGGGGTTACTGCAGTGAAGTAGCCTGCACAGCATCATCCCGCCTGGAAGTGAAGGAGCTTGGAATTGGGGCCAGGCCTGGCTGACTCCCAAAGTGTGTGCCCTTGTTGGACACTGGGGCTCCCCTAGAAGCTGGCGTTCCACTCTTTCATACCATGTTGCATTCTTCTCTGGGGATCCCCAGATACAAAAGAGAATGGACTCAGTGTTCCTTCCTGTTCAGCAGAGCAACCCCCACCCCTCATTCCCTGCCACCCCTCTGGAATCAGCCCTGGATGAGAGTGAGTTGATAGGACTAGGAGCTGAGCTGTGCCATTCTGGGCTTCCCACCCCCCAGGCACAGAAAACAGTGATCAAAATGAAACCACTTGGCAGAACCCTCCTCACTCCCTAGGGACAGAGTGCAGTCACTCAGGCCCATGTTCCCTGCAAAGACGTTGAGGTCCGTGAAAGTAGGTCCATCCCATGAGGGGGCATCTGAGAAGAGAGGTGGGGTGGTGCCGTGGTGAGCAGCACAGACTCCATTGCGGGACTGCCCGGGCTGAGTCCCCACTCTGGCACTTTGCCGCTGTGTGACTGTGGGCAAGTTGCTTCACCTCTCCGTGCTTTTGTTTCTTTCCAGGTAGAATGGGGATTATTATTTGTGCCTGCTTCATAAAACTGACATAAAGTTAATTGTAAGACACCTAGAATGATGTCCAGCACATAACCAACTATATTAACTTTAACAAAAAATCTTGGCCGGGCACGGTGGCTCACACCTGTAATCCCAGCATTTTGGGAGGCCGAGGTGGGTGGATCACCTGAGGTCAGAAGTTCGAGATCAACCTGGCCAATATGGTGAAAGCTTGTCTGTACTAAAAATACAAAAAAGTAGCCGGGTGTGGTGGTGGGTGCCTGTAATCCCAGCTACTCAGGAGGCTGAGGCAGGAGAATCCTTGAACCCTGGAGGGGGATCTTGCAGTGAGCTGAGATGGCGCCATTGCACTCCAGCCTGGGCGACAGAGACAGACTCTGTCTCAAAAAAAAAAAAAAAAAATCTGTGTGCACTTCCTCCTTGAAGCCATGTAGCCCAGCTGTATATCCATCTTACCCTTTGGAATATGAGATGCTTAAGGCTGGGACTATGTCCAATTCTCTCTGTACCCCAGTGCCCAGAGGAGTCCAGCACTTACTTATTGTCTGCGGCAGGCATTGAATTTTCCAAATATTCCTGGTCCCAGGTGCTCTTTCAACCTCTTGCTGCCTCCTGTCTAGAGGTGAGGTCACTTTCCCCTCCCCTTGAGCCTGGGTGGTGCTCATGTGATTGCCTCAACAAATAGAATGTGGTGGAAATGGCACTGGATGGCTTCTGAGGCTAGGTTATAAAAGGGATGTAAGTTCCACCTGGCTCTCGCTGGGAATGCTCACCCGTGGACTCCAGCCACCATATTGTGGGGAAGCCCAAGCCATGTGGAAAAGCCACTTGCAGGTGTTCCAGTCAATGGCCTCAGCTAAGATCTTAGCCAAGAGCCAATATTAAGTGGTAGACCTGTGGTATTAAGAACATTCATGCTGTTATACAATTATCACTACCATCCATCCGCAAAACTCTTTTCATCTTGTAAAACCAGAACTCTATGCCTATTAAATTATAAGTCTTCATTCCCCCTCCTACCAGCCCCTAACCACCATTCTACTTTCTTTTGTTGATTCTGGCCACTCTAGGTATCTCAGACAAGTAAAATCATACAGTGCTTTTTCTTTTTCTTTTTTTTTTTTTTTTGAGACAGAGTCTCATTTTGTTGCCCAGGCTGGAGTGCAGTGGTGTGACCTCAGCTCACTGCAACCTCTGCCTCCCAGGTTCAAGCGATTCTCCTGCTTCAGCCTCCCGAGTAGCTGGGACTACAGGCACTCATCACCGCGCCTGGCTACTTTTTGTAATTTTAATAGAGACGGGATTTCACCATGTTGGCCAGGCTGGTCTTGAACTCCTGACCTCAGGTGATTTTCCCACCTTGGCCTCCCAAAGTGCTGGGATTACAGGTGTGAGCCACCGCACCCGGCCTACAGTGCTTGTTCTTTTATGGCTGTTTTATTTCACTTAATGTTCTCAAGGACCATCCATGTTGTGGCATATGCCAGAATTTCCTTCCTTTTTAGGGCTGAATTGTATGTCTGGCCCACATTTTGCTGACCACTCATCCGTTGATGGACACGTGTTGCTTTCACCTCTTGGCTTTTGTGAATGATGCTGCTACAAACGTGGGTGTTCACATGTCTCTTTGAGTTCCTGCTTTTGGTTATTTGGGGGATATACCCAGAAGTGGAATTGCTGGATCATATAGTAATTCTATGATGAGGTTTTTGAGGAACAGCCACGCTGTTTTCACAGGGTTCCAGTTTACTCACATTCTGGCCAACAGTTGTTATTTTCTGGATTTTTTTTTTAATCATAGGCATCCTAATGAGTGTGAGGTGGCAGACTCCCTCAGTCTATAGGGCAGAGAAGAGAGAGCCTCTGAGAAGGGTCTGTGACTTTGAACACTAGAGCTCTGAGCACGAACATTCCCGAGGGCTGCTTCTAGTCTCCTGAAGACCAGAGCTAACCACTGGGAATGGATTGTGGTGACTGAAGGGTGCCGAAGTCAGAACTCTCAGTGGCCTGGCACTGTGCCTCGAAGTGCCTCCCTACTGTGTTGATTAGTCTAAAAACATGTCAGCCTTTGGGTATGACCTTACTGGGGCCCCTCCAGACAGGGCATGGAGCAGAGGGCCCTCCTTTATGGGCTGGACTCACTAGTGAAGCTGCTTAACTGTGACTCACCTCCAAGGCTCAAGGTGATGCTAAGGTGCTAAACTGCTGGAACTCTTAGCTGTGCCTGTGTCTCCTTGGGCTCTGGGAGATTTTTTCTTTTAGCAGTATTTTATGGCGATATTGTCTAGGTAGAATAAAATGTACAGATCCTGGTTTTCTGTTTGAGTTTTGTTTTGTTTTGTTTTGTTTTGAGACAGGGTCTTGCTCTGTCACTCAACCTGCAATGCAGTGGCACGATCATAGCTCACTGTGGCCTCAGCCTCCCAGGCTCAAGCAATACTCCTGCCTCAGCCTCCCTGTAGCTGGGACTACAGGCATGCACCACCATGCCTCACTAATTTTTTTGATTTTTAGTACACAGAAGGTCTTGCTATGCTGCCCAGGCTTGTCTCAAACTCCCGGACTCAAGCAATCCTCCTGCCTCAGTCTCCCAAAGTGCTGAATTACAGGTGTCAGCTGCTGCACCCAGCCTCAGCCTGTTGTTAATGGATGTAAACACCTGTGGGACCACCACCCAGAACCAGATCCAGAACATTTCCAGCCTCTCGAAGACTCCTTCGTGCCCCTCCCAGTCAGTGACTCCCAAGGGTAACGCCACTCTAGCCTGTTGTTCAACTTGACTCGAATGGAATTCTCACAGCATGTGTCTGTTTGGATCTGGCTTCTTCCGCTCAGTTGCAAGGCTCATTGACGTTTCCTGTGGCCTAGCTCCTTTTTATTGCTGAGGGCCACTCTGTAGTGTGAAAACCACAATTCATTTCTCCCTTCTTCTGTTGGTGACTATTTGCATTGTTACCAGCCTGGGGCTATGACGAGTAAAGCTTTTAAAAACAGACAAATATGTTTTCCTTTCTCTTGGGTAATTTTTCAGAAGTAGAAAAGCCAGCAACTTTGAAGTAGATATTTGACTATATTACAACTCACCAAGCAGTTTTTCTTTCTCTTTATTTTTTTTATTTTTTGAGACAGAGTCTTGCTCTGTTACCTAGGCTGGAGTGCAGTGGCGTGATGAGGGTTCACTGCAGCCTCGGCCTCCTGGGCTCAAGTGAGCCTCCCACCTCAGCCTCCCACATAGCTGGGACCACAGGTGTGCACCACCACACCTGGCTAATTTGCCTTTTAAATTATATGTAGAGACAGGGTCTTCCTATCTTGACCAGGCTGGTCTCAACTTCTTGGACTCAAGTGATCCTCCCACTTCAGCCTCCCAAAGGGCTGGGATTACAGGCATGAGCCACCACGCCCTGCCCATTTTTCTAAGTTGGATTATTTTACACTCAAGTCTGCTATGAATGATAGTTCCAGTTGTTCCATATCCCAATCAATTGGTGATTGCTACAAATGACGTGACGTGATGAAAATATTCCTGGTATTCGAGAGGATTGCAAAGAATTTCCCTTCTTTTCTCTCCTTTCTGCTCCCCTTGTACTGTCTACTCCTTAACTTGGTCAAATTCTACTTGATCCAGAACATAATGGGATGGTGAGTGCAGACGACACACACGGCCTCAGTCTATGGGAACATCTCAAAGGAGTTCGTCTGCAAATTCTAGTGCATCTAGGCAGAACACAGGAAGGAAGAGAGGTGCAGACTTACGTATGGCCCTGGGGCACCTGCCATCCCCTCGAGCCTGTATGGTCCTTACCCGCCCATCCCCAGCTTGAGTTCTGGGCCTTCTCGCCAGCACATCGTTGGGACCTGGTCAACTTCAGGTAAGTTTATTTCATGGCTCCCTCTCCCCTCTGCAGCCTATCCTGTTATTCTCTGTTTCAGCCAATTATTTCCCCTAACTAGGTGCTGAAGCCAATTAAAGGCAGTTCATGCCATATGTTCCTTCCCACTCCCATGTCACTTGAAATGTTCTATTATGTCCAATACTTCTCTCCCCATCCTAAAGCTCACAAAATAAGGATGGAGAAGAGAAGAAAGAGAGATTCACTGAGGGGGAGGATCAGAAGCTCCTGGGCACCCCATACTCTAGAATAAAAATCTTCATTATAGTGTTTTTCATGCAAAATATTCCCTTCTACATAATTATGTTTTAACATGAAGAATAGAAATTTAAAGAGGAGAAATACTTCTTGAAGATTCTGAGAATCTTCATATAGCTCAGGCTGCCACGAATTAGCTGTGTGACCTGGGGCATGTCCCTCAGACTCTGAGCCTCAGCTTCTCTATATGTAAAATGAGTTGAAGCCACCCTTCCCCACAAGCACCCTGTGCACAGGCAATACCCAGCCCCATTATTTTCTGGAACCAGTGGCCAAGCATGCTTAGGACACACAGCCACATACTTCTGGGCAGTGTCATCTGGCAACTCACTGTCATGTCAGTGTGGTCAAGCATTGTAGACCTCTATGAACCAAATATGCTTCAGGCTTGGGTTGAGCACAGGAGAGGGAGGAGGGAAAGGTCACTGGGGCTGGGAGTGCCTACTTCCCTCTATGAGTGTCACCCCAGTTCACCCAACACCCTACCTTTCTCTCTCTGGACCCACTTCCTCTTGCTGCCGGCTCCTCCCCATTGAATAACAGCCAAGTTGCTTTGGTTTCTATTACTTTGTTAAGTCATTCCTTCTGCAAAGGACTGCCTGGCAGGTGTCAAAGGCAGTGGTGGCCACAGAGGCGGTGGAGAGATGGCCTTCAGCGGTTGCCAGGCTCCCTATCTGAGCCCAGTGAGTTCCGGGGCCGTGGGCACAGGGCTGCCTCAGCCAGGGGGACACAGTTCTGGGGCTCTGAGGAAGCAACTCCTGGGTGGCAGGAGATAGGGGTGGGGGCATCCCAAAGAGAACACAAGCAGGGCAGAAATGTCAGTGGGGGTCGTCCTGGCACAGCTGTGCCATGCTGAGCTCACTCATGCCTGGAGAGATGCTCCTCCCATGAGTCATGGGTTTGACAGTGTTGGCTGAGCTGTCCTGTCCTGTCCTGTGCGCTCAGGGGAAGAGGTGTAGAGTGGGATGGTTTGTGTAAAGAGGAAGCAAGCATGCTTCTGGGACAGTAAGGATGCTACCCGGCATGGTAGTTAAGGGTGCGTACTGTGGAGTTGGCCTCCCTGGGTCCAGCTATTTACTGGCTGGTGGTCTCTGGGCCTCAGTTTCCATATCTGTGAAGTGGGAATAATACTTGAGCCCCCCACTCCCAGGGTTGGGATATGGATTAAGGAAGTAGTGTATCTAGAGTGTTTGAACAGTGCCTGACACACTGTAGGTGCTTTGGGAGTGTTTCATGTTATTGGGAGTCTGGGTGCAGCAGGGAAGGCCTCCCGAGGAGGTGTCTGTGCTCTGAAGGGTGAGGCGGAGTTAACCAGGCATAGGCATGTCAGGGCATCTGTAGACGGACAGTCTCAGAGGTGACGGAGGCAGGGACTGTCCCTGCAGTGTGGGGTCAGAGGGCTGCAGGTGCCTTGCTGAAACTCTGTGAGGTTTATGAGTCCCCTTCATTCACGGAAAATCCAAGGTTCAGGGAGGCAAAGGCCAGTTGCCAAATGCCCCCAGATGGGAGTGGCAGCCCCAGGAGCCCAGGAGCCTTCAGGGGTGACTGTGTCCTGGGCTGGGTCCTGTCACAGGATCTCACCCTGCCTTGGCAAAGAGCTTCCCGAGGGGCTGGAGTGGGTGGGCTGATGGGCCCTTCCTGAGTGGGGAGGCAGAATGGGGAGGGTGGGCAGAGGCAGGGTGCTGAGGGCAGGGAAGCTGCCAGGGGCCACCTCAGCAGAGGCCAGGGTTGGGCTTGGGTGCCCTCTGGTGATACTGAGTCCAGAATGAGGCTGCCTATGTTCTGGTCTGCAGAGCTCAGCTCTGCTTTCTAGACTCCAGAGAGGAAGAATGGAGAAAGGAGGCCTGTTTCCTCCTGGCTGTCACCAATGACCCCTCAGCCACCCTATGGAAGCCCCCAAGGTAGAACCTGCATAGAGGGAGTGGGGGAAGCTGGAATGGGCTGCCGGTGTTGGGCGAGCCTTAGGGTCAGCGTGTGCCACCTTGAGCATGTCACCCCATTTCTGGTTTTCTGTCAGAGAGGGGATCCCAGAGCTTCTTCCAGGTTCTGACATATTATTATTCTGGTAACTGGTTTTTACTTTCTAATCTTTGGATTCAGAAGGAAAATCCTCCTATGCACATCAGAGAGTTTGAGAGAGTTAAAGCGGGGCCTTGGAGCTCAGACAAGAAAGACGATCAGTGCAGCCCCCACAGGTGTCCAGAGCTCCCCTCTACCCTACGGGGGCTCCCCTGGGTTGGGACACTTGAGCCTCACTCGGTGACCCATCTGGCAGTCGGAGTCACGCTTTCTCCACATGCCGACAGTGGGGGAAGGTCACGCGGTTCATGTCCTGCTGAGGAGGGCTGAGTGCCATGAGGGCCTGGCTTGGAAACCTCACTCCCACTTCTTGTCTGGCCTCATCTAGCCCAGCCTCTTTGGAGGGCTGGGGGGAAGCTGGAACCACCTGCTGTGTGGCCCAGGAAGCACTGCGAGAGCCAGGAATAAGGACGTTCCGAGCTTCCTCATGAGAGGAAGCCTGTGTGGTGGTTAGAAGCGTGGGTGCTGGGGTTCAAATCCCAGCTCTGTTGCCGACCAGCTGTGTAGCTTTGGGCAAGTGACTGAACTTTTCTGTGCCTCAGTTTCCTCATCTGTAAAAGTGGCCGGGGTTGCTGTGAGGATAAATGTTCCCGGTCACCCCCAGAGCCCTCATGGACACACATGGATCCAAATGCCACAGCAGCCTTAGCTGGCCAACTTAAAACAACACATTTGTGCTTACAGTGTTGGAGGTCAGAAGGCTAAAATCAAAGTGTCATGAAAGGTGGCCAGCAGGACCGTGGAGCCTCTGAGGCAACAGGGCACTTTGGCTAAGGGCCACGTACTGGCTCCAGCTGGCAGGCAGTCTCGGCCAGCCAGGCTGAGCTCCCTACTCCTGGGGCCAGGCCTTGGTGTCCTCTGGTGATGCTGAGTCCAGAATGAGGCTGCCCACATTCTGGTCCGCAGGGCTCAGCTCTGCTTTGACTTCCAGGTAGGAAGAAGAGGGAAAGTCCCCGGTCTCTGGGCACAACCAGGAACAGAGAGTAAGTTCTGACTCAGCAGAGGGATTGATTTGTTCCATGCAAAGAGCTGCACTGTCAAGGCCGACATGGGCCAGAGGCTCAGCACATGGCATCGCACCCCGTCCTCTCAGAACGCTGCCAGCCAGGGGCTCAGCACATGGCATTCCACCCAGTCCTCTCCAGAATGCTGCCAGCCAGGGACTCAGCACACAGCATTGCTTCCAGTCCTCTCCAGAACACTGTCGGGTGGTGTTACTGCCCTGCCATTCAGAGGAGGGAAGTGGGGCACAGGCAGGTCAAGTGACTTGGCCAGTGTCAGAATTGCTAGTGTACAGAGCTGGGAGGCGAGCCCAGGCCCATGGGACCACAAATCCAACACAAAAATCCATCCTCCTGCACCCTACGGAGCAAAAGTAGGTCCAGTTGTTTTCCTGGGTTTCCTGGACACACGGATCTAAATTCCACAGCAGCCTTGGCTGGCCAATCTTAAAACAACAAATTTGCTTTCTTAATGATTCTGGAGGGCAGATGTTAAAATCATCGTGTGAGCAAGGTTGTCTCCTTCCGGAGGCTCCAGGGGAGAATCTGTTTCTTTTGCTTTTCCAGCTTCTAGAGGCTGCCTGCCTGCCTTGGCTTATGACCCCTCCTGCCATCTTTAAAACCAGCAGCTTTGTCTGGGTGCAGTGGCTCATGCCTGTAATCCCAGCACTTTGGGAAGCTGAGGCAGGAGGATCTCTTTAGCCCAGGAGTTGGAGACCAGCCTGGGCAACAAACTGAGACTGTGTCTCTACAAAGAATAGACAAAAATTAGCCAGGCATGGTGGTGCATGCCTGTAGTCCCAGCTACCTGGGAGGCTGAGGTGGGAGGATCGCGTGAGCCTGGGGAAGTGGAGGCTGCAGTGAGTTGAGATCATGCCACTGCACTCCAGCCTGGGTGACAGAATGAGATCCTGTCTCAAAAAAAAAAAAAAAAAACACAACAAACAAACAAACAAAACCCCCAAAACCAGCTTCTTGCTTCTGTTGTCACATCTCTTACCTCTGACTTTGATCCTCCTGCTCCCTTTTATGGGACCTTTGTGATTACATTGGGACCACCTGTATAATCCAAGACAATCTCCCCATGCCAAAATTATGCATTTAATCACATCTGCAAAGTCCCTTCTACAACATATTCACAGTTTCCGGGGATTCGAATGTGGATGTTTCTGGGGGGTCGCCCACTGATAACCAGTATTATAAGTTTCTTGTAAATCCTTCCAGAGATATTTTATCTATAAATAAATAAATGCAAGTCCATAGCCTTCCCCTACCCACTTTTTATGCAAATGGCATTATTCCATATCGGTGCTCAGAGTTTTCCTCTTTTTCTTTTTTCTTTTCCGTCTTCTTTTTCTTTTCTTTTGAAAGCTACACAGAACTTATTCTATTATATGGAAATACCCTAATTTATTTCACCTTTTCCCTGTTGGAAGACTTTTAGGCTCCTTCCAATGCTTTGCTTTATAATCCTTTGTGTTATAATGCTGCAATGAATAACCTTGTTTGTTGGATGATATTCAATTTAAAATCTCATTTTTCAGGACAGGCATAGTGGTTCATGTCTGAAATCCCGGCCCTTTGGGAGGCCAAGACAGAAGGATCACTTGAGCCCAGGTGTTCAAGACCAGCCCTGGCAACATATCGAGACCTGGTCTTTTCAAAAAAATTTGAAAATTAGTGGGGCATGGCTTGGTGGCCTGCACTTATTTGGTCTCAGCTGCTCGGGAGGCTGAGGTGGGAGGATTACTTGAGCACAGGAGGTGGAGGCTGCAGTGATCCATGATCACACTCCTCACTACACTCCAGCCTGGGCAACAGAGTGAGAACCCATCTCAAAATAAAATAAAATAAAATAAATAATAAAATAATCTTGTTTTTCAGAAATTGGGGGTGCCATTTAAGACATTTTGAAACCTCACAGAACTTTTTTGGGGAACTTGTTGCCTTGGAGATTAGCCTGCCCTGTCCTGCCCCCATGACCTGTACTTGGTCTTTCTCCCTCCTGGCTTCCTTAGTTAAGCCTTGTGTGGACTTGCGAGCCCATGTCCATCACTCTCTGCCTTCAATTCTAGGTGCTGTGGTGTGAATACGCTTGAGTGGAGGCCGCATGCTTCCCAGGAGGGTGTGTATTTTCAGCGTTGTCTCTCATGATAGAATGAAAGGCTCTGGAGGGAATCACAGGCTGCCACAAACAGGCAAGGGGAAAAATCTTCCACAGACGCGTTTCAGGGACAACAGGCTTCCCAATCCTAGCCCATGCTGGCCCATAACTGGATCAGGCTGACTCTCCTTCCCCCACACCGCTGGTGTAGACAGGGACAAGAAAGAGAAGTCAGAGACACAGAGAAGCTGTGATTTGCTTGAGGTCACCAAAGTATTTAATGGCAGAGTTCAGACCTGACCTGAGGGGCAAGAAAAGACAACCCCCTCAAATCCATGGGGAGCAGAGACTATCTGGATCAGATCTCAGATTGCCTGGGGCTTTCACGGTGCCAGGTGTGTACACTGAGCTAGGATGGGTTTCCCAGGGTGCTGTGTGGTCACATAACTCAACAATACAGACCAGAAAGCAGTGACCAGTAGGCTGAATTTGGCTAGTGGGTGTTTTCTGTTTGGCCTGCACAGTGTTTATTTTAACTTGTTATTATAGGAAATTCAAACATGCAGAGAGAATTGTACCATCAACAACACACACCCATCACTCTGCTCCAACAATGATCAACTCAGGCCTATCTTGCTTCATCCTATACCCTCCCTCGCTTGCTTCTCTTCCCACCTTCAGATATGCGGAAGCAAATCCAGAGATTTCATTCCATTGTAAATATTTCATTGTGTATCTCTACAATGTGGGAATTTGGGGAGTTTCATTTGAGACAGGGTCTCGCTTTGTTGCCCAGGCTGGAGTGCAGTGGTGCAATCGTGGCTCACTACAGCCTCGACCTCCCAGGCTCAAGTGATCCTCCCACCTCAGCCTCCCAAGTAACTGGGGTTAAAGGTGTGCACCACCACATCTGGCCAATTTTTTTATTTTTTGTAGAGATGGGGGTCCCACTATGTTGCCCAGGCTGGCCTAAAACTCCTGGGCTCAAGTGATTGTTTTACCTCAGCCTCCCAAAATGCTGGGATTATAGATGTGAGCCACTGTGCCCAGTCAGGAACTTTTACATAATCCTTTTTGACAAAAGATTTCCCCCAAGAAATTAGAAAGTTTTACAAAAAAAAAAAAAAAAAATTCAGGTTTCTGTCTCATCTTAAAAATTTGGAAGTTCTGCCAATACTAAGCCCAGACGGTAATCATTGGTTAGTGCTGAGAAGATGTTGACTTTTTAGATGAGGCGTGTGACGTCTACTTTGCCACAGTCCCCACCACTCCCTACCTGGCCATCTGACTCATACACATCACCTGCCTGGCTTCTTTAGGCATTTAATTTGTGTAGGAAATTGACCTAAAGGAGATATTAGAGAAGACATTAAAAACTTGAAGAATGTGAAAATCAGCCATGAGATAGAACTGTGCTTTAATGCAGGTTATAGAACCACACCGGATATGAGGCATTTCGGAATAAACTTTGAAAATTGGAAGTACCAGTTTGTGAATTTTGCTCAGAGAGACCAAGGTGGGGGGTGGGTGACAGTGGTGAAGCGTCTCCTCTGTGCCAGTCTCTTCTACCACAGGCTTTTTCTCACAAAATCATCAATCATATGCAGTAGGAGAAACACCTTCCTATTTTACAGATGAGGAAACTGAGGCAAAGAGAGGTGAAATAGGCTTCCCAAGGCCACTCAGGTCAGGAGCAGCAGAGTTAGGATTCAGACCTGGAGTCGGCCTGACTCCAAAACGATGCATGCCTCACCATGGCCCATAGCTCCTTTAAAGAGGCGCGGAAGAGAGAATTTGACAAAGTGCTTGCCCACGGGGCCTGGGATGGGTGGGGAAACTACGCTGGGGCTCGGGGCTGCGGAGGGCATCTGGGAAGAGGCTCTGCTGAAGGTGGTCAGGAGGGCAAAGGTCACGGTGGCCATTGTTATATGGTGGTGGTGGGGAGAGGTGCATGCCTTCTTCTTGACACTCTCTGGTGACCCTCTCGGTGGAACCTGCAGACCCTTGATGGGCCCCTTTGTTCCCTTGGGCCTCCTGAGTCCCCAGCCAGGGCGCTGGGCACTTTGCTGGGAGCTTGGCATGGGGTCCAGCAGCCCCATTGCTACCTAGTTCCTTACCAGCCCAGGGCGTCTGCCTGCTACTTCCCTGCCTGGAAGGAAGGCCTTCCGCCTGGAGCGTTCCTGGTGTGGCCTCCGCTGCCTCTCAGACTCTCACACAAGCTCAGCTCCCTGTCGCGTCCTCTCAGGGCCAGGATTCTCCTTATCACAAGCTTAGACTGTCTGAGTAACTAATTGGATTTGTGTCTGCCTCCACACAGGACCCTAAGACCCGTGGGGCTGAGACTCCTTCTGTCCTGGTCACAGCTGCACCCTAGCCCCTCGCATGGTGCGGTCACACCCAGGCCAGCCACTGACTAGCCCCGAAGGGGAGCAAACAGGAGGCCGGCCACCTGACTGAGGCCCCATGTCTTCTCCCTGCAGGCCGTCCCCTTTTCTGGGACTATCCAAGGGGGTCTCCAGGACGGATTTCAGATCACTGTCAATGGGGCCGTTCTCAGCTGCAGTGGAACCAGGTGTGTGTATATGGATGGAAACGTTTCACTCCAGCCTCGTCCCTTAGTAAAGCCACTGTGCCTGTGAGCCTCGGCTAGTTCAAACAACAACATCCAAGCTCACGTGCCTGGCGCAGGGGAGACCCAATGCATCCTTAACCCATGCCACAGGACAGCACTCCACAGGCACAACCTGCACCCAGGGATGCCATTAACCTGGACTCCAGGATGAATGGGGCCCTGGGAGCTGAAGGTCTAAGGAAGGAGTGGGATGGTCAGAGTTGGATGATTATGTTCTGGGCTGAACCTTGCACACTGTGACTGAGAGTTGCAAAAATCAAACTTCCTCCGTTTCCCATAACTGCTCTCATCCACTCTGAAGCTCTCCTTCTGCTGACATGAAAATACTGAAAATTGACATCCGAAGTAATTTGGTCTCTTTCGGTTTCAAGGCCTTTTCTGGAAACTACTAAGTCCATTCAAAATACTAACATTGTATCAGGGCTGTTTCCCACCCCTTCCTCCCTCCCAAGGTGGGCTGTCTGGGAACAGAGAGGAGCTCACGTGGCTTGTCAGTGGCTGGGAGGGCCCCCGACCCTCACGCAGGCCTGGCTGACCCCTGCCGAGGCATCCTGACTGGGTGGCACAGAGGTGTGCAGCTCTCTCCTGGTTTAGTGAGGGACCACGGGTGGCTGCCTGCTGAAGTCTGCGGGGCCCACAGAAGAGCCTCTGGACTCATGGCTCTCTCTCGGAAGCCTCTCTGCCTCAGTCCCAGCGGACCTCTCTTAAGACCCTCTGGGCCTCGTAGATGCCAGCTCAACCTCAGCTCCGCCACCTAGATTCTTGATGACCTCCTCCGCCATTGCCATCCTGCTGTCGGACTTCTCTGAGAGCCTGCAGTGCCCCCAGGAGATGCCAAGGGCAGGGAGGCCCTGATCCCCCTGAATCCTCCAACCGGGGGAATCAGAACCATGCCTCTGATCTTCCACCCCTTCCTCTTTCCCTCTCCCTCTGTTTCCCCCACCTCCCAGCACCAGGAGGGCTTCCCACTCCCATCCTGTTGCACGGAGACAGATCCTACCTCAGAGGGCCCTCTCCTCTCAGGAGCTTTCTGTCTCTCCCTTCCTTGGGGCAGGAATTTCCAAAGGGCCACAGGAATGAAGCTGAAGGTCTCCAAAGGAAAAAAATACATGCAGTGATATTTCAAATGCAATCTTCTCCATTTATTCATTTAATTAATTTATTTTTTTCTTTAGAGACAGGGACTTTTTTCTTTCACCCAGGCTGGAGTGCAGTGGTACGATCATAGCTCACTGCAGCCTCGACTTCCTGGGCTCAAGGGATCCTCCCATCTCATCCCCCAGAGCAGCTGGGACTGTAGACATGCATCATGATGTCTAGCTAATTAAATATATATATATATCTTTTTGTTTTTTAAGTAGAGATGAGATCTCGCTCTGTTGCTCAGGCTGGTCTTCAACTCCTGGGCTCAAGTGATCCACCCACCTTGGCGTCCCAAAGTGCTGTGATTACAGGCGTGAGGCACTGCGCCCGGCCCCGATTTCACATGCTCTTTACATTTGTTCTCTTCTTTCGCACTTAATCAGGCATGTGCTGGCCTCCAACAAGTGTCCACTGGCACAGAAGCCTCTCTCTTCTAGGTGTGCTTAACAACTTCCATCTTTGTTACCAACTGGTAATCACTTTCCAGGACCTATGCTTCTTGTTTGCTAATGCCAGCACTTTCCCTTAGCCATTTTCTACTTATGTTTAGAAAATCGTGCTGTAAAGGCAAAATGCAATAATCGCACAAAAACACATTGGATCCAAATTAGAGAAACAAAAAGGATGCCAACCAAGCAGTCTCTGCCACGCAGGTTGTATGCAAGATCCCAGACAAACACAGGGCAGAGGCACCGAGGCCCTCCTGTGCCTGTCACTGGCAATAATCCATGCCACAGAAGACTATTTGCTTTTCCTGGGCCTAGGTTTGCTGTGGACTTTCAGACGGGCTTCAGTGGAAACGACATTGCCTTCCACTTCAACCCTCGGTTTGAAGACGGAGGGTATGTGGTGTGCAACACGAGGCAGAAAGGAACATGGGGGCCCGAGGAGAGGAAGATGCACATGCCCTTCCAGAAGGGGATGCCCTTTGACCTCTGCTTCCTGGTGCAGAGCTCAGATTTCAAGGTAAGCAGGAATCCCCTCCCCACCTCTCGCCCACGGGACTCCCAGCCCTATCAGGTGAATGTGAATGGCCTTTTAAGTAACCACTTTAATTGACATTCAGCCAGAGTGACACCACCATACAGATAACATGACCATTTCCTTGTAAGGGTGTTACCCATGGCTGTGTAGTCTCCTTACGCACCTTCACCTGAATCTACAGGTGCACCTCCTGCTTCTTTTACTCTGAAAATAAGAACTAGAGGAGTCATCACGTTGCTGTTAGGTGTTGTGTGTCTTTGAATTCCAAGCTCATTCCATTCCTCTGCTATCACCATACCTCCTCTCCAGGTCCCTGGTAACATTTATTTTTCAGCGACATTGTTCCAGCCCTTATCCAGAGTCTATTACGGTTATAGTTCTGTAAGCACATTGCAAATTACCTTTGCAAGCACAGTAGGTCTCTGGGCTTGAGAAGCCGGTGGGTAACTCAGTCTGAATATGCTTATCTGAGATAAGGATGTTCCCATCCATTCAGTATGCAACCCGATGTCACCTCTCCTCTGCTCCCCGTGAGCATTTTATGCATATTTAAATAATACCCCTGCAGTCCTAAAAAGGAATGAGATCATGTCCTTTACAGGAACATGGATGGAGCTGGAAGCCGTTGCAGGAGCAGAAAACCAAACACCGCAAGTTCTCACTTATAAGTAGGAGCTGAACGATGAGAACACATGGACACAAGCGGGGAAACAACACACACTGGGGCCTGGTCGGGGACGGAGAGCATCAGGAAGATTAGCTAATGGATGCTGGGCTTGATACCAAGGTGAAGGGTTGATCTGTGCAGCAAAACACTGTGGCACACATTTACCTAGTTAACAAACCTGCAGATCCTATACTCATACCCTGGAACTTAAAATAAAAGTTGAAGGGGCTGGGCACGGCGGCTCACCCTTATAATCCAAGCACTTTGGGAGGGTGAGGAGGACAGATGGCTTGAGGTCAGGAGTTCAAGACCTGCCTGGCCAACATGGTGAAATCCCGTCTCTACTAAAAATACAAACATTAGCTTGGTGTGGTGGTGGATGCCTGTAATCCCAGCTACTCGGGAGGCTGAGGCAGGAGAATCGCTTGAACCACTGCACTGCAGCCTGGCTGACAGAGTGACACTCTATCTCAAAAAAAAAAAAAAAAAGTTGAAGGAAAAATAATAAATAAATGAAACCCCAGGAAATTCAGTTTGGTTCCTGAGCATGGGCTCTTTCTGGAACAATATGGCCTCCTAACCAGGCTGGAAATCGAGGAGTGAGAAGAAAGGGGAAGGAAACAACCAGAAGAATGGAAAGCCCGACTGGAGCCCAGTAGAGACTCCGGTTGATGCACTTCGGGCCACACACACGTCCCTGTAACTGGCCCCACACTGAAGACCAGACTCAGGTCTTCATTTTTTAGAAGGAGGGACCAGGAGCTCAGGGGTGGTCCCCATCCCGGCCTGGGGCACCTCCCCCGAAATACGTGCTCTCCTCTGGCAGGTGATGGTGAACGGGAGCCTCTTCGTGCAGTACTTCCACCGCGTGCCCTTCCACCGTGTGGACACCATCTCCGTCAATGGCTCTGTGCAGCTGTCCTACATCAGCTTCCAGGTCAGACTGTCCACCTGGCACCGGTCCCAGGGGCTGGGATGCAGGGCCCAGCGTAGCTGTGCTTAGGCCCAGCTGGGGGGACCCAAGCCAATCTCCTACCCAGGTCACTCTGGGGACAACCTCTGCTTCCCTGTCCCAGTACCTGCCCGCCCCTTCTCCTCTGTCACTCTGCCCCTCCTTCTGTGTCACTGTCTCTGTCTGGAACACCTGCCTTGGTCTCCCAGACTCCTCAGCTGCCCCTTTCTCTTCATCCGTCAATTTCCATCCTGGTAAGGAGGGCATATTGTTCTAGAAAGAGCCCAGGCTCAAGAACCAAACTGAATCCAGTTCAAATTCCCAGCTCTGCCATTCGTCATCTGTGGGATCTTAGACAAGCAACTTTGCCTCTCTCAGCCTCAGTTTTGTCATCTGTAGAATGAGCATGGTCATTGCCTGCCCCCCATGGGTGGTTGTGTGATTCATTGAGGAGACAGATATCAGAGGTCACACAATGGCGCCCCTGGGCCCACACCAGGGTCTGTGTGACCTCTGTGTTTTAAAAACTTTGAATGCGTTGCCAACATCTAAAAGGTCAGGAGACCCAGGTATGGTGGTGGAGGTCTGCAATCCTGGTTACTCAAGAGGCTGAGGCAGGAGAATCGCTTGAGCCCAGGAATTAGAGTTCTGCCTGAGCAACATAGCAAGACCCCATCTCTAAAATCTTTTTGTTTGAATAATAAAATAAAATAAATAAAACTAAAGAAGGTCAGGAGATACCAACACCACGTGAAAAATGGGAAGATTAGGGTATGCTGGGCCCACATTCCCACAGGGCACCGGCAGCTGGATGGGAGCTGCTGTTACCCTTTTGGCATTCAAGGGAGCTCCCTGAGATGAGCGAAGTGCACAGTAGGCCCTCAGCAAATCTGGGCTCCTCACCCTTTGGTCCTCATCTCTCATTCCCTCCTTCCCTGACTCTCTCCCCTGCGGGTGGAAGGGGAGGGAAGAGCTGGAGGGAGACTGTCCCCCTGCGCTGCTCACCGAAGCCTGGCCCTTTCCGCTCCCGCCTCCGTGTGGCCCTAACCCCCTTGCTGCATCCCCCTGCCTGCCTGTTCTCTGCCTCCTGCCCCTGCATCTGCCTTTCGGCTTCTCCTTGGCTCTATTAATGCTTCTCCTCACCGGCCGGTGCCTTTTGTTTTAACAGAATCCCCGCGCAGTCCCCGTTCAGCCTGCCTTCTCCACGGTGCCGTTCTCCCAGCCTGTCTGTTTCCCACCCAGGCCCAGGGGGCGCAGACAAAAAGTGAGTTCAACACAGAGGCCCTGGGTGGCTGAGCAGACAGCAGGAAGGACCGAGGGTTTGAGAGGCTGGCCCCAGCCAGCAGGCCACCAGGGCCTATGGGCCACATCTTGCCCACTCAAGAGTTCCCTGTCTCTGTCTGCTGGGCACCCAGAGCCGGGGACCTGGGTGTTGCCCTGGATTCTTCACTACCCTTTCTTTATGTCTCTCCAAGGCACCAACATATCTCCCTCCCAAAGCCACCGATGTGGCCCAGGCCTCTGGGATTCCTCACCATGACTACAGGGGTCCAGTTCCCCACCCCCCACACCCAACCGCTGCCACAGTGACCTTCTTATAAGCAAATCTGATCACACTCTCTCCCTGCTTAAAAATCTTAAAAGTCCCCAGCCCTTTAAACAAAGCCCAAATTCCCCAGCAGGGCATACGAATTCCTCCCCAGTCTGGCCCCAGTCCACCTCCTTGCCTCACCCCCAACCCACGAAGCTCATGCAACCTCCACGGCTCACTCAAGGCCCTCTCGGGCCACCATGCTTTTGCATATGCTGTCCCTGGTCCCGGAAGCACCCTCTGCCAGCCTGCCCTCAGCACACGCCTAATCGCCCTTCCATGCTCTGCCAAAGTGTCGCTCCTCTGGGAGTCCTCCCTGCCCAGAATATTGTTGGATGCTCCCCCCATGCCCCCACGGAGTCTGTACATATCTGTGCCATGCCAGTTCACAGCACCCCATTGTAACTGTTTGCGTGTCTGTCCCTGTCACTCCACCCCCATCTCCCTATGCCCATGAGGCCCCAGAGGGCTGGGACTGTGGGTCGTTCATTTGCACAGTGCCTGGCACTCACTTAGGGACTCGAAGAATGGATGAATGTGGAATGTGGTTTTCGCAGCCAGGGAGAATGGGATACCAGCCAGGGCAAGAACAGTCTACTGGGTGGGGCAGGATCCACGACAAGGAGGTGGGCAGCCCTTCCTCTGGCCACTCAAGCAGTGGGGACTGGGAGGAGGGGCGCTTTGTCTATGTAGCCTTTTTATGGCCCATGATGGTACAGACAGTGCACCTGCCTCCTGCCACGCTGACTTCAGGACTGGTGGAGCCCCAGGGAACATTCGCAGGGCAGCCAAACTTTGGCCCTGGCCCTGGCGCTGGCCCTGGCCCTAGGGATGACAGAAAGTGTGCTGGATACAGTCAGACAGAATTGGCTGCCATTTTGGATTTGATCCCTTCCACCCGGGCAAGCTTGGGCAAGTTGCTTAATCTTTCTGAGCCTCATTGCCTCACCAGGGACACAGGAGCTGAGGCTGCTTCCCTCTTTGGAAAGCACTGAAGCCCAGGACTCGGCCCACAATAGGCCTTCAACAAATACCACTTCTCAGCTTACGGGTGAAATATGGCACCGGAAGTAATGCTCTTGGCTGTGGGAGCTACAGACAGCAATGAGGTCTCTATCAAACCCAGCCTCCTCTCTCTCGAGAGGAACCAGTGGGGATACCCTACCCCTCAACCCCAAAGCCTTGTGCACCTGAGGGTAAAAATCTGGGTGCCACGGGCTCAGGAAGGCTTGCTTGGGAGCAAGAGGGAGGTGGGTGTGTCTGGGGAGGCATTTCTGAGCACAAGAGCCTCCCTGGAGTTCTGCCATCGTCTCTCCCCGTTCTGTGGTGCCCGCAATAACCACCGTTCTGACTCTCCTCACCCCTCCAGCCTCCCAGCGTGCGGCCTGCCAACCCAGCTCCCATTGTAAGTCTCTTGCTTTCTTTTTGGATCCTCTTGATTTTGGCTCTTCTTCTGGGCTAATGGAGGATGCAGGGCCAGGCATTGGGCCTCTCCCATCGGGAGTGGGGAGGGCAGAGGCCAGGCCCTTGACCATCTACCCGGCCTGGCGAGGTTGGTGGGTGAATGTGGTTGGCTGGCCGTGATGGAACAACCTGAGTTGCCACTCCATGGGCAGCCACGGAAGACCATGCCCCACGTTCACTTCTCTCACCTGCAAAGGGAGGCTAGGCTGAGAGACGTTTCCCCGAGAGGAAAGATGGGCCAGAGCCACCAGCGTCCCCATCTGTCTTCTCCAGGGTCCTAACCTTTGCCTCTCCCTCGTCCCCTGGACCCACCCTCCGTGGGGTCTGTGGGGCCACTGGGCTGGTTATGCCCCTGGAGGGTGCCTGCCGTGTGGCACCCTCTGGTGGGAGCTGGGGTGGTCTTTACTCAGGAGAGCCTGGGTGAGACCTGGTTTCTTTCTTCCAGACCCAGACAGTCATCCACACGGTGCAGAGTGCCTCTGGACAGATGTTCTCTGTAAGTCTTCAAGTTCTGATCAGTTCACAGCTGCACAGTGCCCTCCTTCCCCAAGAACTAAACTCCCTAGAGCCCTAGAGTTGGGAAGAAAGCGGTTTAGCAAGGAGGGTGGGGACATCTGGGGCTGAGTCCTTGGCTCAGGTGACATGTGGTTAAAACTATCCTTGGGACAGCAGAGATTCTGGATTTATCCAGTGGTGGAAGAGGCAGGTTCCCTAGAGACTGGGAGGGAAACTGGTCCTTCTGTCACCAAGTGGGGAGTGCAGTGGCCCCAGCACCCGGATGTGAGGTTCCTGGCCCTGCCTCCTGGGTCCCCGGGATGTCACTACAGATCACAGGCTTAAGCTCTTCTCCTGCTGGTGCAAATCAGGCCGGGAACTTAGCATTAGTGGGGCTGCCTGCGGAGGGGCTGAGGGGCAGGTGACCATGGTGGGGTCTGGGAACACGGCAGGAAGTTCCAGGAAGGCTAACATGAAAACGGAGGTTTACGGGAGAGTCCAAGGGCCAAAGGCTCATGAGGTCAGCCTCACAGTGGAGCCCCCTCTAGAATGCGTGGGTGCGCGTGGGTGAGTGCTCGCGCACACATGCGCTCTCCCATTGAATTTCCTGGTTTCTTTTCAGCAGACTCCCGCCATCCCACCTATGATGTACCCCCACCCTGCCTATGTAAGTGGTTTCTCAGGGAGGGCAGAGGTTCTGTTTGTGGTGGGCAGGCTAGGGATGAAGGGCCGCTACGGGGGGATCCGCTGGCCTTGAAAAATGAAAAGCGAAGGGCTTTCAAAATGGTAAGCTGAAGGGCTTCAAAGCGTCCCAGTGAATTAGAAGACTGTGGAGAGGAGCTTTCAACCTTAAAACTGTCGTGTCAACGTGAGCACATTGCATGGCCCTCCCTTTTCACCCCACGAGTCTTTCTTTCTGTGTTTGGCCAAATTTCCTTTCATGACACTAATCTAAGCCCATTAATTTGAGGAGCACCGGAAAGTTTTCCTTTGGCTTTTATGGAACCAAGGAAAGATATCGTGGGCTTCTTCTCAGCTGACAGCCTAAATTCATGGGAACTGGTACAATCTTCCCCTTCCATGTGGCGGCTGCCCTGACTGCCACTGGCTGACCTGTCCCCGTCCTTCTGACAGCCGATGCCTTTCATCACCACCATTCCGGGAGGGCTGTACCCATCCAAGTCCATCATCCTGTCAGGCACTGTCCTGCCCAGTGCTCAGAGGTAAGCCAAAGGCTCCAGTGACCTCTGGGAAGAGAGAGCCCTTCAAGGTCATTCCAGCCATTCCCCTGGCTTTTGGCAGGCTGGGGATGATGGGGAGGAAATGGGGCTCAGAACTCAGTGGACAAAGGTCCAGGTAGGCTGCCCACCCCAGGTTCCACATCAACCTGTGCTCTGGGAGCCACATCGCCTTCCACATGAACCCCCGTTTTGATGAGAATGCTGTGGTCCGTAACACCCAGATCAACAACTCTTGGGGGTCTGAGGAGCGAAGTCTGCCCCGAAAAATGCCCTTCGTCCGAGGCCAGAGCTTCTCGGTAAGGCGCCGCAGCCTGGAGCTTGAGGAGGCTCCTATGGGTACACGGGGAGGGGGTAAAGGAGGTCTGGGGTACCTTGAACAGGATGGGAGCTGATGCCTCTGGGATGAGGGCCCAGAAGAAAAGGTGGCCAAAAAATTATTGTCATTATTATTAATAATTATTACTGTCCTGCATGAAGGAAGCGTTGGGATCTGCTTTTTTAGATGAGGAAAGAAACTCACAAGTGCAGGTTACTTGCTTGCGGTCACACAGTCAGTAAGTGTCAAATCAGACCCAAGAAGGAGGTGTTATTCATTTCTTCACTGACTCATTCAACGATTTCACTGTCGCCCGCTTTGTGCAGGAAGCACTCCACATGCTGGGAGCGCAGTCATGAAGCAGACACGTAGGGTCCTTCCTCCAGAGAGTTTACAATTTAGCTGGGGGAAGGAACAAGGAAACTAAAGCATGAACAGATTGTTGCAGATAACAACAGTGCCACGCAGAAAGCAAAACAGAGCGATGAGATAGAGCGAGCCTGGGAGGGGCAGCTAGGGCCAACATGCAGAGGTGTGGGTGTGGCCTCTCCAGGAACAGCAGCAGGCGTGCTCCGCCCTGACTACACATTCAAATCACCCAGAGAGCTTACAAAGAACATATAGGTGCTGGGACCCCAGCCCAGGCCAATGAGGCGGTCAGCCTGGGCATTTGTATTTTTAAAATATGCCTGAAGTGATTACACTCTGCAATCAGAGTTGAAAATGACTGATGTAGGGCTTTGCAGCCATGGAGCCAGGGAGCAACATTCTTTGATTTGTGGACAGCTGTGTGACCTCGGGCAAGTGACTTAGCTACTCTGTGCTTCAGTTTCCTCATCTACAAAATGGAGCTAATAATCATATGAATCTCCTAGAGCTGTAAGAATGGAATGAGGCAGTATCTGTAGCACGCTTAGGACAGTGCCTTACACATGGCATGTGTGTTAGGAGTGTCAGCTATTGCAAAGGGCAGGAGGTTTTAACATTTGTACCCTGACTGCCTCATGGAGAAGGCATTGGGGTGGAAAAGACAAGTTAGGAGGCTGATGCTGCAGGAGCCCAGGCCCAGAGCACTCCTGTGTGCTGGGTCCGAGGGATACAGATGGCACAGGCCAGTGCTCCTGTCCCTGATGTCGTGGGAACAGTATTCTACGCCAGGGAACAGTACAGGGGAAGGAGCACGCACAGCCTGTTTAGTGAAGAGCCGGTCGCTCAGTGGGGATAGAGTGCAGGTGAGGGGCTTATTAACAACTGAGGAGGGAGGGAGGGAGGGAGAGAGGAGGCTGCAGTGAGGGTGGAGGACTTCCCAAGTGTAGTGCAAACGGCATAATCTCTGCACAGGTGTGGATCTTGTGTGAAGCTCACTGCCTCAAGGTGGCCGTGGATGGTCAGCACGTGTTTGAATACTACCATCGCCTGAGGAACCTGCCCACCATCAACAAACTGGAAGTGGGTGGCGACATCCAGCTGACCCACGTGCAGACATAGGCGGCTCCCTGGCCCTGGGGCCGGGGGCTGGGGTGTGGGGCAGTCTGGGTCCTCTCATCATCCCCACTTCCCAGGCCCAGCCTTTCCAACCGTGCCTGGGATCTGGGCTTTAATGCAGAGGCCATGTCCTTATCTGGTCCTGCTTCTGGCTACAGCCACCCTGGAATCGAGAAGGCAGCTGACTGGGATTGCCTTCCTCAGCCGCAGCAGCACCTGGGGCGCCAGCTGCTGGAATCCTACAATCCCAGAAGGCGGGCACAGCCAGGGAGAGGGGAGGAGTGGGCAGTGAAGATGAAGCCCCATGCTCAGTCCCCTCCCATCCCCCACGCAGCTCCACCCCAGTCTCAAGCCACCAGCTGTCTGCTCCTGGTGGGAGATGGCCTCCTCAGCCCCTCCTCTCTGACCTTTAACCTCACTCTCACCTTGCACCCTGCACCAACCCTTCACCCCTCCTGGAAAGCAGGCCTGATGGCTTCCCACTGGCCTCCACCAACTGACCAGAGTGTTCTCTTCAGGGGACTGGCTCCTTTCCCAGTGTCCTTAAAATAAAGAAATGAAAATGCTTGTTGGCACATTCATGTGGGTTGACTGTGGCTTCTTTAATTCATTTGGAGACATTTTGGAATCTGTGGAATCAGGCGGAGGGGCTGCTGAGAGGAGTGGGATGGGAGAGCATGGACTCCCTTTGGGCAGGGGGTCCTGACCTCACAACTCCTAATTAAAAAAGGATTAATGGCCGGGTATGCTGGCTCACGCCTGTAATCCCAGCACTTTGGGAGGCTGAGGCAGGTGGATCACCTGAGGTTGGGAGCTCGTGACTCGCCTGTCCAACATGAAGAAACCCCATCTCTACTAAAAATACAAAATTAGCCAGGCGTGGTGGTGCACACCTGTAATTCCGTCTACCTGGGAGGCTGAGGCAGGAGAATGGCTTGAACCTGGGAGGTGGAGGTTGCAGTGAGCCGCAATTGCGCCATTGAACTCCAGCCTGGGCAACAAGAGTGAAACTCTATCTCAAAAACAAACAAACAAACAAAAAAACGAAAAACGAGCTGGGCATGGTGGTGGTGGCGGTGGGTATCTGTAGTCCCAGTTACTTGGGAGGCTGAGACACAAGAATCACTTTAACCCGGGAGGCAGAGGTTGCAGTGAGCCGAGACTGCACCACTGCACTCCAGCCTGGGTGACAGAGCAAGGCTCTGTCAAAAAAAAAAAAACAAAAAAGGAAGCCAATGCATGGGCTCCTCTGGTGGCCACAGGGTCTAGAATTATCAGGTCTCAGGGATGACTTCACCAGGGCAGTGTGGAAGGGAAATGTGGGGTTGAAGCCCCCACACAGAGCCCCCTCTGGGCCAGTGTCTAGGGGAGCTATGAGAAGAGAGCCACCGTCCCATGAGGGTGTTGGAGAAAGCAGGCTGGGGCTCTAGTCTTTTGGGCAGGAGTCTCGGACACAGGAAAGGTGGTAATGGGGGACCCCAGGAAACAGCCCCATGCCTCTGAGATGGGAGGCGGGCTGGGGCAGAGCCTGTGAGGGCCACAGCAGGGCCAGAGCTGGCTCCTCGGACCTGGCATCCCAGTGGGAGGAGGTGGCTTGGGGAAGGGGTGTCAGGAGAGGCCGACCCGAAGCACCGTATGGGTGTGTGTTCCATTGTGGGTCTCCCTGGCAATAGGGTTAGGACTCGCATGAGAAAAGTGGCTCAGTGTCCATGTGTGGGGTTCTGCCAGCCACTGAGCCACCGCCAGACAGCCCAGCTCCGCGTCAACGTGATGCCAATACATCCTGCTTGGCCCAGCAAGAATACAGTTCCTCAGGCCCCCGTGTAGTCCTCAGAGTGGTGGCAGCAGCAGCGACTGAGAGCTTGTTGGAAACGCAGCATCCCGCACCCCACCCCACCTGCGAGATCAGAGTCTCTGTCTTCACGGGACCCCAGATGAGGCCCGCACATGAAAGCGGGGAAGCCCTGGTCCGGAGCGGACTCCTGGCCGTGTTGCTGAGATGCACGGCTGCCACGCAGGGCAGGGCACGTCTGGAGCCTGAAGTTGGCACTGCACCTTCTCCTGCCACCTGAGACGCTGCTGCTGGAAGGAGGAGGGGAGGGGGAGGGTCCTGGGCCTGGCCCAGGAGGCACAGGCCAAACCCCAGCTGGGAACCACGTGTTGCCAGGACCCCAGAGGCCGCCACTGAGCTCCTTCCTTGGTTCTGACCAGGAGAAGGAAATGGACCTAGTCTCTTAAAAAGCCTTCCTTGGCCGTCTCCAAACCCAGGAGGGTCTTCAGTCCCTTGGGCGAGGATGCTGTGGCCCACACTCGCTTTGACACCCTGCGTTCCCAGAGGCCACATCTGTACTGGCCAAACTCACGTGAGACAGGTGGCCCCAGAGCAAAACCTTTCTAAGACAGTGTCCAAGAAGAAGCTCAAGACCTTCCCTGAAGCTCTGGCCTCATATGAGAATCCCACTCTTGCCAGACCCCACGTCAGATCCTTTGTGTGGGAGGCAGGCCTGTGCCGTCCACCCTACCGCAGGTCTTTGGACCAGCACGAAGCTCCATCTGCTGCTGTCACACCTGGCAGCCATTTCAGAGGAGCCGTGGCCTGCCTGGGGTGTCCCTCTGTGGGGCATCTGTCCAGGCTGCGACACCCACCAGCTCCCCACTCTATAACTGAGGGCCACATTCCCTACAAAACATCCCCCACCAGCCCACCCAACAAACACACATACAGTGTGATTAAAGTAAAATTCAATGCATGTAAATATCTCCATCAGGGAATCATACAGAGAAGACCCAAGGGGCCATTAGGAACAGACTAGGGTGTTCGTTTTTTAAACAGAGGCATAAATAATTTTACCCATGGCAGTTAAATACACAGTGGTGTGACGGCACTTCCTGGTGGTCACTTGAAGTGGTGCACTCAGCAGCGGGTTCCATCTTTCACCCACTTGCCAGGCCTGGCATTGAAGATTTCGTCTCCAAGGGACCAGGGTGGCCCCAGCTTGAGAGAGGAGGCTCCGATCAATCCAGGGTGCTACTTGGTAGGAGGTCAAGTAAAGGGCTTGATGGGGAACGAGGTGAGAAATAAGAAGTGAGGCTGGGGGATATCACTTTCCTCCATCTCCCCAGGCCCTGTGACCTCGGATAATGCAGAGCTGGCTCCATCGTTAAGTTCTGTGCTGGCAGCTTTAACCCCTCCTGTGGGCCCTCAGAGCGCTGACATCTCCAGGCTGCTGGGCTGCACCGCCGCCCTGTCCTTCTTTGCCTCGTAGGGAAATACAGCACCAAAGATATCGTCATGGAAGTGCTTCTGGCTCTTTTAGGTAAAAACAGAGACCAATGTGTCAAGTCCAGGCTGGAATGAGCCCCTGGGGTTGCCCAGCTTCCCTATCACATGGACCTTCATGAGCCATCTGTCTTCCCAACTGTTATACTTTGATTGCGCTTGAATCTGGTTTAGACCCTAAACCCGCTCAGCACCTGCTCTGGAGCAGGCCCTCTAACCATTTCCAAAGCTTTACTTGGCATTCCCATTTCCTGCCCTGTGCTCATCCCCCACCCAAGATGCTCCAGGAAGTGTGAGCTTTCAGATTAACACATTTGGGAAATGCTACATCCTTTCTTTCCTCCCAGCCTTGAAGGGTCCCGATGCACAGCAGCACGTTGAAGGCCCCCAGAAGTCTTGTAGTAAAGCAACGTGCTTGCCTTGGCTTAACTAAGCATGTCCTAGGCTATTCGACCTTGTAACCTTTTGGATGCCAAACATCTACCGACTCATTTAACACATTTGGGGAAATGCCTGTTATCTCCTCACTGTTCTTCAAACACGCCAGCTTAACTCCCACCCCCGGGCCTTTGTATCTGCTGCCCTCTCCAGAACAGCCCAGAGTGTTTCCTTCAGTATCCACGGGGCTCCTCCTCACCATCTCAGGTTTATTCTCAGACGCCGCCTTCCAGCTCCGCCTTCCCTGGCCACCCTATTTAAAATTACACTCCCCAGTGTCCCCTGGGCTATTTCCTGCTGTTTTTCTCCGAAGCACTACACCTCTTCCTTGTTTGGGTTTGTCAGCCCCAGTGGAATGTAAATAATTTTTGCCTGATTCATTTACTGCTCTATCCCTAGCACACAGTAGGTGCTCAATAAATATTCAGTTGAATGTATGAATGTGTCTTAGGGAGAGTATGGAAGTCACAATCACAGGCTTTGGAATCAGAGAGACGCAGACTGAACTCTAGGCTCTCACTGCTGTAGACCCCATAGGCCCCCTTCCCTCTGTAAAACAGGGTGCTTCCCTCATAAAGTCCTCGGCAGGACTGAAAGAAATGTCACATGAGAATCCTTGGCAAGCACTTGGCCCAGTGTAAGCCCTTGATAAATATCACTATTATCTTCATCAATAAAATGCAAGCCCTTCCTGCTGGGAGGATGAGGGTGAGCAGACGCCAGCCTGTGTGTAAATAAGAAGTGTGAGGTTCACACGAGGCTGACGGGGGGCAGCCTTGCTCTCCCCTGTGTTCACAGCCTTGCTTTGGCCACACAGATACTTTCTGAAAGGGGGGTTTGGGGAGAGGGCAAGTAGACTCTCTTGCTCCCATTCCACAGATGGAAAAATGGAACACATTCACCTGACTTCTCAAAGCTGCCAACCAGTCCAGGATGTGCAGTGGGGCCTTCTGACAGCCCACCCAGCTCAGATCCCAGCCACTGCTAAGATTCCCTTGGGGTCCAGAACTTTTCTGGGCCTGACTCCCCTGGGTCTACCTGCCACCCCTGGTCCTGGCTCCAATAGCCTGTGCCCTTGGCCAGGACCCTCAGCCCATACACCCACTATTACACCTTGAGCTGAAAGAAATAGTCCTCGACCTGCTCCTCATTCAAGTTCAGCTAGGCAGCCACCAGCTGCTAGGGTGTGGGCCACATCCCAGGCCATGCACACAGCCCTGCAAACATAGAGGTGGCCCGGCTCCTTGTGGAGCACACGGAGCACCTCGCTGGCCAGCTGCTGCTGCAGGATGTCCTGAACACAGACCTAAAACCAGAGGAAACGGTGGGTCCAGTTCCCGGCCACTGGAGACAAGGATTGCAGGCAGGACTGCTGGCCTCAGGGAGGTGGGGAGAGGGCACTAAGGGCTGTGGAGTGAGTCCCCTCCCAGCCACGACCTTGCACAGGTCCAGGCTCAGGATGAGGAGGAGCACAGATGCTCTGGGGGCTGGGCTGGGAGTAGAGAGATAAATGCTGGACACAGGCCTGCCCTCAAGGGGCAGACTGTCCAGTGGGGCTCCCAGACTGTCTCTGAATTTGCCATGCTTCAAAGAGGCATCAATGAAGGCAGTCCCCCTGCCCAGGGCTCTGCCTACACCCCTGAAAAGTACCCTCTCAATGCAGACTGTCCATCGGGTCCCTGCAGGGTACGGATCCCGGGCTTCCCAGTTAGAAGGTCCAGGAGTCAGTCGGGGACTCTCTGCTCCTGCTCCACACAGGATGCCCAGTGGCCCCAGCACTGGGCATAGAGCACTGGGCCCGAGAGGTGCCCTGATGGCAACAAATGTGTGAGAGCCGAGAGTCTATTCTGACACCTCAGGCTCAGAGGGCAACGCGGCCCTGGGGGCAGGTGAGCCCGTCTGAGGGCCATGGTGGGTTTGAACGTAGCCGGCCTGGACCACCTCTCCCAGGGGAGTCGCCTGTCCCGGGGGCCTGCTGACGACCTTCAGCAGGCTGGGCTCTGGGCTCAACCCGCCTGTGACCTAGGTTAGTCCTGAACCTCTCCGGTCCTGTCACTTCTCTTGGAAGAGAGGGCGTAACAGTCTTCACAGCCCCACTCTGATGGTTGTGAATTACCTGCATTTTAGAGCTCAGGAGCTGCAGGCTCAGGGAGGCGAGGGGCCTGTGGGGACCCCGGGCTCACACTGGAGCCTGCGTTGTGTACTGCTTCACCTGCTTTGAGGCTGCATTTACCTTGGGCTTGCCAGGCAGGCAGGAATAGGCTGTGGGCACCGCAGGCAGCACCCCCTTCCGAGCCATCTCCAGCATCTCCTCCTGGTAGATGTGGTCCTCATTTGGGCTGCGGCACTCGAACACCGGGGTCATGCGGCCTCCCTGCACTCCTGCAGGAGTCCCGGGCTGTTGTTACCATGTTGGCCAGCAGGGCGCTATGGCTCAAAGCCGAACTGGAATTCTCACTTCACTCCCACAAGTATCCTAGCTAGTTAATAGCATTATCCCCACTTTACAGATGAAGAAACTGAGGCCCAGGGCATTCCAATCACTCATACATAGTCACACAACTGAAAGTGCAGATGCAGGATTCCCTCAGCCCATCGGAGGTCAAAAGCAGGGACTTTCCCGTTACCTCCACTCCCGAGAGAGGGAGCCCCGGTTCCAATGCCGGAGACAGGAAGGCGGCCGTTCTCACCCACATAGGCCCCACACAGGGAGACAAACTTGGGAGGCCTTCCCTCCAGAGAGGTCCAGGAACCGTTTGTGGGGCTACGGTTCTGCTCCTAGGCAGGCGCTGGCCTCTGGTACCCTCCCACCTGGGAAGCCTCCAGCCACACCCTTTTGCTGGGAGTCATGGAGCCGCTGCTGCCAGAAACTGAGGAAGGGAGCGATGCCTGTGCCAGGCCCGATGAGGACACGAGGATGGGAGGGGTCCTCGGGGAGCCGGAAGCCGCTGGCGCTGAAGAGGACAGGAGAAGAGGGGGCCAGTCCTCAGACACCCCGGGCCCACGCACACACAGGATGGCTGGGGAGCTGGGCCTGTGGGGAGCGGTCGTAGCGGGTGGAGAGCAGCTCCTATTTGATTTCCCACGCCCTGCAGGCGGCTTCACTTCTGTCCAGCCACCAGCACCTCCCCCAGGTCCTTCTGAAAAAGGGCCAAGCTCACTGGACTCTGGGCCCTTCCAGCTCTGCTGTCATCGCTGTCTCTGCTAGAGACAGCCACACCAGTGTGACCCCAGTGTCTTCTTTGTGGGCCAAGGAGCCCCGAGCGGCACCTAAACCCCAGATCCCTCCCTTTCCTCCCCGAACCTCCAGGGGTCGGCGGTCCCACAGGGGACAGAGTGGAAGGGGTGCTTACTTCCGCACAAAGCAGGACACTTGGTCTTGGGGCTTCAGTTGTTGAGCCATGTGCCGCAGACGCCGTGGTGCAGGGGACCCTGGCCATCTGCAACGATACCACAAAGTGACCAACGTCCCCCCACTGCCCATGCGCAAACTGTACCAGCTGCTCCGCCCACACCACGGCCTCCTTGGACGCCCCCACTCAGGCACTCTCAGGACTCAATGAGCAGCTCTTTGTCCTCCTGGTTCTGAGATCCACCCGCTGTGAGCCCAGAGCTGAGGAAGGTTGAAAGGGACTTAGAGAGGTTGCGAGTTGCTCCATCTTCAACGCAGAAAGTGAGTCCCGGAGAGGAAGAGTGACTTGGACAAGGTCACTCAGGTCATGGTGAAATCAGGACAGCTCAGCTTCCCTGACTCCTACTCCAGTGCTCCTTCCAAAGAGTTTCTCCAGGAACACTCCCAGCTCACCACTGAGCTCCACTGACAGCAGCAGGAAGTGGCCCCTCGGGGTGGCTACTGCTGTGCGTGCTCATGAGCGTGGCCCTTGCTGGTTGCAACCCTGGGTGGCGGATGAGCTCCGCGCGTTTCAGCCTGCTCTGGCACCTCGCTTTCCTCCTCAGTTGCCCCTCCTGGGCTGGTAGAAACCCAGGAGGTTTCTCTGGGTTGCATTTCTTTTACAATGGCCCAGCACTTGCAGGAGGCCTCCAACCAACTGCAGAGGTCCCCCTGGTTTTCCTCGGGATTAAATTTTGCTCTCACAGGACGTGTCTGCCTCTCCTCTCCTGGTCTGGGTGGGTGTTCTCTAGCAGGACAAACAGAGTCTCTGGCCAGTTTTTAGAAACTGTGTTTTTGTTTCCTAGACAGAGGGCTCAGAAGTATAGGCAGCTCCCAGCTTTGCCAAACCAAGCAACACTCAGTTACAGAGGGCAGGGCGGGGGGCAGAGGCCAGTGGTGGAGCCAAGACCACCTGAAAGAGATGTTGGCCTACCACTCTATGGCAGCGTCACCCCCTCTTCACTGTCCTCAGTGACGCTGACCTTTCCTTCTTGGCTTCTGGACAATGAGAATCATCTAATTATTTCTACACTCATCTCTCCACTGCTGCCTCTAGATGCTCCCTGAGGGCAGGGCTGATGTCTGTTGTATTTCCACACCTGCCCCAGTGCTGAGCACGGAGAGATGTGAAATAAACCGTCACTGAATGAGCTCAGTGAGTGAGTGAACAGCCAGTGCAGAATCTCCCCTGCGTTCAGGCTGCACAATCAGGAAGACTAAGGACCACTGGGCTCTCACCAAGGGTTGGGTGCTCTCCAAGTCTGATCTCATTAAATTGTCTCAAGAGTAGTGGGACAGTGGAGTGGTGGAAGACTTGGACTCAGCAGTTAGACCACCCAGGTCCAAATCTCAGCTCTCCACTTACTCACAGTGTGACTTTCTGTGCCACCTGTAAAATGCACACAGTACCTACCCTACATGGTAACTGATCATATACATACAGAAGGCTTGGTTTACTGCCTGGTTCATAGAGCTGTCTCCCACATGCCTCCTATTACCATTAACAACTCTGGGCTGTAGGTGTTCCCTCCCTCCTTGAACTGATGAGGGAACTGAAGGGGCAGAGCGTGACTGCTCCACAGCCTCTGCCCCAGGCTCACCTCGAGTGTGGTACATGAGCACGGCCACAGTCAGGTGGATCGCTGTGGGCGTGTGATCCTGGGAGGAGCTGATGGAGTAAAACCTGGGCTTCAGAATGGGGAGCAGGGAGAGCAGGAAGCCAGCAGACACCTGCAGGGATGGGAACTCCTCCAGCAACTCCAGGAACGTGGGGCTGTTGGTGAACTTCCACTTGCTGTACTCTGAGGACTGAAAGCCAAGGGTGATGTGAGCGACTCAGGGCGCCTGCCCTGCTTTGGGGAAAAGGCTGTCACAACCCAGTATTCATTCATTTCTTCACTCACTCAACAAACAAGTCCATGTGCCAGGCACTGTCCAGGGTGCTGAGACTACCAAGCTTAAGAAGAAATAGTTCCTGTCCTGGAGGAACTCAGTCCGGTACACTTATCTAACTTATGTGACTTCCACTGTCAGCAACTCATGGGCTGGGGTCAAATCTTTGTTGAATGGCACTTTCCCCAGCTGTCGTATCCTAGGCAGTTTGGGTGGTAGGTGGGCAAATCATTAAAAACAAATCAAAATCTCTAGTGAGAAAATCTTTTTCATTGTCTTTCAATCTTCCCGAATCCTTTGAGGGGTCTGTTGCTAGGCTAGGCTTACTCTCAAACCCTTGTAAATCCGTCCCTCCTGCCTGAAAACACTCTCCCTCAGCCCCTGCTTTTATCAAACAGAGCAAAAGCAGCTCTCAAGCTCAGAAGGTTTACCACTGTAGAATTTAATGATATTGTTTTGTTTTATTGCATTTATTTTTGTGATTACTTTCCATTAATGGCAAGTGACATTATTTTTCCATTTAGAGTGATTTAAAATTTTTCTTAAAACACAGGTAATCAAATTTTAAAAACTGAGTTGATTTCTATGAAAATATTAAGTAATGGTGTAGGTTCTACACAGATATGACACTATGGAACAGATGGTTCCTGGAATTTGGGAAATGTTGATGGGCGGCGTTCCCTAACCTGACACTGCTTAGAACATTGATGGGCGGCATTCCCTAACCTGGCACTGCTTAGAACGTTGATGGGTGGCGTTCCCTAACCTGGCACTGCTTAGAACGTTGATGGGCGGCGTTCCCTAACCTGGCACTGCTTAGATAGGGGAGACACCTCTGAACACAATAGTGTTTGTAGTGCCATTTAGATCTACTGGGTTCTGATAACTCATGGGTCTTTTTTTTTCTTTTTAAATAAATAATTACCTTTTCTTGATCACTATTGTATAAAACTTGGAAATACAGAAAAACATGTAGAATAAAAGAAAATATAGAAAAATATATAGAATAGAATGAAAAATCACTCATCATCTCGCCACTCAGAAATAACCACTCCTAATATATTGGTAAATGTTTTTCTCTCTGTGCACCAACATAGCTGTTATTATAGTACATATATTTTATTTTTGTAGCCTGTTTTATTTCCTTAACCTCATAGTATAAGCATGTTCCATATCATTCAAAATTCTTTATAAACATGGTTATAAATGGCTGTAAGATATTTAATGTAGAGAAGCCTCATAATGGATTTAATCATTCCCTAGCTGTTGGACATTTAACTATTCTCCAAATGTTGGGTTGTTTCTGGTTCTGCCTATTATCATGTTGTGATGAATACATTTTTGTTTGTTTGTTTGTTTGTTTGTTTAATAGACAAGTCTCACTCTGTTGCCCGGGCTGGAATGCAATCATGTGATCATAGCTCACCGTAGCCTCAAATTCCTGGGTTCAAGCAATCTTCTTCCCTCATCCTCCCAAAGCACTGGAATTACAAGTGTGAGCCACGGCACCTGGCCTGAATATTTTTATGCACAGCTCTTTGTCTTTATTTTAGATGGTTTCCTTATAGTAATTTCAGAAGTGGCATCCCCAAATGGGAAGATTTTGTAAGGCTTTTAGGATACATATTGCTGGACTTTTTTTTTAGAAGGATGAAACATGAAGGTATTCAGATCCCCTGGACCTACATGATGGGACATACCCTAATTTGTGTGTGGGGTGGTGTTGTCACTAGAAAGAGCTCAGACTCTGCTACATTGGGCAAGTTACCCAACTTCACCAACTCCTGTTGGTGCAGGTCTGAGTAGTCACTTCCCAGAAATCCAAGAGTGACTGTTCTTCACAGCTAGGCTCATGAGTGCTCATATTTTAGCTTTAAAAGTACAGATGTGGGCTGGGCATGGTGGCTCATGACTGTAATCCCCGCACTTTGGGAGGCCGAGGTGGGTGGATCACTTGAGGTAAGGAGTTCAAGACCAGCCTGGCCAACATGATAAAAACCCATCTCTACTAAGAAAACATAAAAGTTAACTGGGCATGGTGATGCGTGCCTGCAGTCTCAGCTACTTGGGAGGCTGAATCAGGAGAATCTCTTGAACCCGGGAGGCAGTGCTTTCAGTGAGCCGAGATCGTGCCACTGCACTCCAGCCTGGGCGACAGAGCGAGGCTCCAAAGTACAGATGTCATTAACTTCAGTTTGTGTTATTTCCCTTTCACGAGAAGGGCTCAAAAAATATTTGGGAAAACTACTTGTCTCAACACCCTAAAATGCTTTTTTTTGTAGCAGAAGCAGGAAAGGTTTGACCAAACATACCTGACATTAGGAAGAAATGCAACAGGCACTCATGCTTCCTGGTGTCCACGATGCATGTGCCAGGAGCCGAGCAGAGGGCCTGGTGTTGAGCATTTCTGATCTTCCCAAGCAGCTTTCCCCACCATGGATTACACAAAACATTGGTTCTACAGGATGCTAACAGGTATTCCTTGCAAAAAGGAATTTTGTTGTTTAGAAAAACTGAGTTAATGAAAGTGGAACCCATTCTTTTGTTATTTGAGAATTCCCAAGATGAGGATATGATATTGAGCATTTGCCAAACTCACTTGATAATAAAAACCTTTTCCATCTCATAGGATTGATGTTCCAAAGACCAAACTTTGAGAATCACTGCTGACAACAAGCTTACAATATAATATTTCTCTTTGTATCTCACAAATAGGAAAGCTGAGGTCAGGTAAATTGACCAAGATAGCAAAACCTAGTGATTCAAGGACTCAGGGTCAGAACCCAGAGCCACCTGACCTCAAACCCATGTTCTGTTCCACTCTCTCCCCGAAAGGGGCTCAGACTGTAGGGTGCCCCTGACCCAAGTGAGTGCCTGAAGCCAGAGGGCGAATATGAAATCAATATCAGAGCTTGAATAGAGAATCCCAAACTGACTGTGTTGATCC